>NC_000009.12:66591387-66757532 GCF_000001405.40 Homo sapiens | reverse complement strand
GAATTAAACCTGAAATTGGAGACAATAATTAGATCAAAATTAGAATGGGAAATAGCCACTTTACCTGAACTTCAACACCTGGCTGACATTTTTGCAGAGCCCTAGGACAATAACAAGACAGGATCCAGAATAACCTTACGGCCCTGCAGATCAAACAGTTGAGTGGACGACCCATAGAAGAGGACACCTGCAGATATTGAAAACAGAAGGGACACCTGAAAAATGATTTTCCAGTAAAAATAAGACCAAAAGACCCCTTAATTTAGATCAATGAAGGTACCCAATATCCTGATTTAAAATTTAACATTCAAGGTGAATTAACCATAAATATAGGTGGCCAACCTCAGCAATTCCTGGCAATATGGGCGCTACTCTTTCTTTTCTTTCTTTCTTTTTTTGTTTTGAGACAGAGTCTTACTCTGTCACTGAGGCTGCAGTGCATTGGCACAATCTCGGTTCACTGCAACCGCTTCCTGGGTTCAAGCGATTCTCCTGCCTCAGCCTCCTGAGTAACTGGGACTACAGGCATGCATCATGATACCCTGCTTTTTTTTTTTTTTTTTTTTTGTATTTTTAGTAGAGATGGGGTTTTGCCATGTTGGTCAGGCTGCTCTAGAACTCCTGACCTCAGGTGATCTGCCTGCCTTGGCCCCCCAAAGTGCTGGGATTACAGGTGTGAGCCACCATGCCCAGCCAGGCACTAACTCTTTCTACATTAAACCCTGGCAATTTTGCTCAACATTTTCCTCATAGGAAGCAAGTAGCAGGTATCTCAAATAACCCACAGATTCCTTCTATCTCCTACTGTAACTACAACCTTTGGGTACTTGACTTAAAAACATTTCTCCCTGCTCTATTATAACACTCTTGCAAATTTAATGGGGAGTAACTTAATTTTCAAATAGAATTATAATAGTAAGTGCACCAGCTGGGCATGGTGGCTCACGCCTGTAATCCTAGCACTTTGGGAGGCTGAGGTGGGTGGACCACTTGAGTACAGGAGTTCAAGACCAGCCTGGATAACACGGTGAAACCCTGCCGCTACTAAAAAAAAAAAAAAAAGAAATACGAAAATTAGCTGGTGTGGTGGCACATGCTTGTAATCCCAGCTACTTGGGAGGCTAAAATGGGAGGATCACCTGAACCCGGGATGCAGAGGTTGCAGTGAGCCAAGATCACACCTCTGCACTCCAGCCCGGGTAACAGAGCAACACTCTGTCTCAGAAAAACAATAAATGCACAGCAGAGTCTCCTGAGGGTTCCTCTATATGTCGTCTCTGGATATACGTTTGTCTCCTTCATTATATTTGACATACGCTCCAGATAAAGACCTCAACACTCTACCTAACACTCTACAAACTAAAAAAATCCATTTATATGGGAAATTACTGGAGCAGAACCTAGTCAAGTTCAGAAGTATCCTAGTAAACCATGGTCAAACTTCCCTGATATTCCTTGAAAAACCAGAAGCAAAGGAAGGCTTCAAAACTGTAGTTGACGACCTTATAACCAAAGACTTTCTCATACGCTGCAATAGCCCATACACCACACTTGTTCTGCTGGTACACTTTTTTCATGACCTCAGGAAAGATCAACAAAATTGTTTTGCTTTGCTTCCTAGTAGTACCTATCCTGTCATCAATTCTGCCCAAAACCACTTGCTTCACCATATTGAATCTTTACTGTGCATTTTTCAGTGTGCTTCCAAACCAGAACAGGCAACGACTTTGCCTTCATCTGGAGAGGACAACAAATATACCCGGATAGTCATACCCCAGGGGCTCACTAAAGCCCCCTCTTACTTTCCACAAGTCCTCAATCAAGACTTAAAGATCTAAATTTCACTTGTGATTCGGTTTTGATGCAATATATGCAGGATCAGATGATCTCCACTGCTTTCTTCAGAGAACGAGGAAGCTGGTGAGAAGGTGAGAGCAAGTAAATACTTGCTCTCAGCCATAGCAGAAAAAGAACATAATGTTTCAAAAGATAAATTATAATTTTGTCAAAAGACAGGCTAGTATTTAGGGCATAAGTTATCTTAAGAGGGTGAAATTATTTTGTCTCTATTGGTAGGCAGAACACTATCGAAACTTCACCTCGATGCCTCGCAAAATGACAATTGAGAGGATTTCTAGATTTAACTGGATATTGTAGACAATGGCTGCGAAATTTTTCTGAGCTTGCAATCTCTTTTTATGAATTGGCCGAGTCCTTAGTGAGAAACTGTCTTTTGTGGGGGCCCAAATATAAATTCTGTAACTCAAGAAGGCTCTTCAGTAGCCTCTTCCTGTGGTAGTTAGGCACTCCCTTTCATAATTAGGCACCCCTGACTACAATATGCCATTTTGTCTAATTGTGCGTGGACAACTTGTACAAGCTTTTTTGTTTTTAACTCAATGTCATGGAAACCATCAAAAATTCATCATTTTCCATAGCCTTACCCTTGACCCAGCTGCAAAGGCTTATAGCCCTTGTCTTAAGGCAACAGCTTCCACTGCAACATTTGTTGATGCTTCTTTTAAACTATTTCTAGGCTCCCCACCTCACATCATGATTCCCTGGCCAGTGTAGACATAACCACTGACAAAGAGCATGCAATACTTTCCAACCAGCTGATCAACTTCTTATGAGAGTTTTACTCCCTCTCTCTCGCTTTACTATTCACTGATGCAATTCCTTAAACTGCCACTCTTCTCCCCCTGCCAGAAGAAGGGAACCTCATGATGGTTATAAGTCAGTTAGGGGAGTTTCTGTACCTCACTCAGATTGATGAGAGACTGACTCTCATTGTGAACTCTGATTCAATGTTATTCATTGATGGATCATACCTCAAAACTGATATTGAAAATTATCACTAATTTAAGCTCTACTTTAGAATATATTTTCTATCTGAGGTAAAATCAACCCATATAATGGAATTTATTACACTTACTAGAGCTTGTCAATTAGCTGAAGACCATGTAGTAAACATAGAGCAGGTATGCTTTTAGAGTACTACATGAATTTGGGATGCTTTGGGGAAAAAAAGAAATTCATCATCTCTGCTGGAAACCCCATGAAAATGAATAAGTTAAGGCACTCTACTTTCTAGAGTTGGCTATTTTAAGGTTGAGGCCCATACAAAGAAAGAAGGTAATAGAAAAACTAAAGAAAAAATTCTAACAGAACTTTATGCCAAAAAAAAAAGCCTTAACTAAAGTTAATGTTTTTGTTTGTTTGTTTGGTTGGTTGGTTTTTGTTTTTTGAGATGGATTCTTGCTCTGTCGCCCAGGCTGGAGTGCAGTGGCGCCATCTCAGCTCACTACAAGTTCCGCCTCCTGGGTTCACGCCATTCTCCTGCCTCAGCCTCCTGAGTAGCTGGGACTACATGCGCCCGCTGCCACGCCTGGCCTTTTTTTTTTTTTTTTTTTTTTTTTTAGTAGAGATGGGGTTTCACTGTGTTAGCCAGGATGGTCTCCATCTCCTGACCTCGTGATCCGCCTGCCTCAGCCTCCCAAAGTGCTGGGATTACAAGCGTGAGCCACCGAGCCCGGCCTAAAGTTATTGTCTTCTGTAAATCTTCAAAGGAGAAGTTCCTAAGGATTCAGATAGGCCATTATAAAATATCAGTGGGTCAACCCCAGTTTCCAAACGGAAGTCTGGAAATTCCACCTCAGACTGGAGCTTCCAAATGTGGCCACCCTTGATTATTCAGGCAGTCTACCTGGGGGACTTACTGACTCACTGTGTGAATAATCAGAGTGAGAATTGTACAAATAGAAAAAAACTGTAAGAAAACCATCACCAATAATTTTATCACCAATAACTCTGGCAGAAGTTAATGACATTGTCTCTTCCCTATACGAAATATAAATCAGCCTCAATTCATTGGTACAAGTAATAATAACCACATTTCTCTAGATTTCTTGTTGGCTACTCATGGTAGCTCTGTGTTATTGCTAATACTTCTCACTATATTTGAATCAACGAAACAGGCAAAGTAAAACAGGCTCTACATCTCACATTTCCTTATGGAAAAAAGATAATTGCCATTCTAAGGCAGATCTTCAAGGTCTGTGGCCTATATGTTCTCTTGGTCTGGGTTGGAAAATTAGAATTTCTGCTTCTGTAACATTTTATAGGGACTAGTGATTATTTTTGTTTTTGAAACCCGACCTTTAAGCCAAAGACAGCCTGACCCCTGAAAACCCAACTGCCAGTTCTAGGTAGAGTCCACAACCGGAGTGAGAACATCCTCTATGCCTTTTAACCAATAAATGGTGCTTTTTCCAAGACCTCCCCCGGCCCAATCAGCATGCACTCCCCCATTCTGAGCCCTTAAAAATCCTATACTCAGCCACACAGATGGCTGCCGGCTTTCAGGCCCCCTTTCACACAGAAGTCTACCCACTTCAGGTCCCCTCTTGTGTTGAGAGCTTTTCTGCCGCTCAATAAAATTCTTCTCTGCCTTTCTCACTCTCTGCTGTCCACACACCTTATTCTTGTTGGTTGTGGGAACTCCCCAAGCTGCGGGTGACAGTAACAAAGGAGATGTAAGGCACCCCTGTTCACTGGGCTGCAGGCAGCAGGAACCAGAGAGAACTGTAACATTTCCAGGGGGCTCAGACCTCAGGACTCCCCAAGCAAAAGCTGTAACACCCTTTGGGGCTTTGCAGTTGCTGTCATCTCCAAGTATTCTGGCGCCACCACCTCCCCTTCATCTAGATACCAGCGCCCAATATGGAAGCCAATTGCAGCATGCCCAGTCCAGCTATGAGCTGAGCACGCAGCCACACTGACCACAGGATCTGGGCCAGTAATGTGAGCCAAGCGCAGCCTGCTGGGCCAAGTGGGCAGAGCAACCCGGCAGGCCTGAGCAAGGGCCGGAACAGAAGTCAGTGCAGCCACAGAGATTTCCAGCTGGTGAAGCGGCACTGAAGGAATTCTGTAACACTGTAACCTCCCTCTCACTCGCCAAGCAACAGGGGGGAAAAAGCCGCTGGGCGCCATTCCACCCTGCACACGGAACTACAAAGCGTGCAACACTTTGGTCATACCTGCCATGATGCAGGTCCATCACATCCTCTGCCAAGTCTTACATTCTACTGGGCAGCTGTTCTCACCAGAGATCATTGCCATACTGTGTCCGGAGTTGGTTCCTACTGGTGGGTTCATGGTCTCGCTGACTTCAAGAATAAAGCCACAGACCTTCGCTGTGACTGTTACAGCTCTTAAAGATGGCACAGACCCAAACTGAGCACTAGCAAGGTTTATTGTGAAGAGGAAAGCTTCCACAGCATGGAAAGGGGAGCAGGTTGCCACTGCTGGCTGGGGTGGCCAGCTTTTATTCCCTTATTGGCCCCTCCCATATTCTGTTCCTGTCCTATCAGAATGCCCTTTTTTCAATCCTCCAGGCAATTGGCTACTTTTAGAATCTGCTGACTGGTGCATTTTACAGAGTGCTGATTGGTGCTTTATACAATCCTCTTGTAAGACAGGGAAGTTCCCCAAGTCCCCACTGGACCCAGGAAGTCCAACTGGCCTCACCTCTCAGTGGTGACACAACAACAAAAAGTCAAGACCTCACAATATAGTTTGCAATGGAGACCACTCGGCAATATCATAGTGGTGAAGATGTGGGTTTCTAGCTGCCCCTGAATTGGTCAATCTCTCGTAAGTAAGAGAATGACCATAATGGGGGGCTGAGAGGATAAATATTCAAATGAGTAGTGGTCAGATGATATGACAATAGAATTCTGATTCACAATCTCTGAAGCCACCAGTCCAGGAAGCCAAACCGCATCATTGGCAGTAATTGGTCCCAAGTGGTCAGGATATCATTAATGACTGTTAGCTTCCCTATTTTGCCTTGTTTCCAACTTAGAACCAACCAAATAAAGCAAAATATGTTCCCCAAACCAACCACATAAGATACTCTGCTTCTAGTTAACCTACTTCCAACTTCCCCTTGCCAACTACATGCAATCAGAGCATACTTGAAGCCTTCCCCCACGCTTTCCCTCCCATTTTTTGCTCACTCTAAAGCTTTCCCACTCCCAAACTTTGAATTAATCACCTGTTCTCATGTGGGTAGTCTACCTTTATTTCTACAGTAAGGTGCATGCAAGCCTTTTCTAGTCACATTTAAAATGGTGAAAAGCAGCATCATACCAGAAATATTTGATTTTCTACTTTTTGATTAGGTAAGCAGAGAGGGATGATTTCTGAGTCTTACAAAGAGTACATATCACTTCAGAAACATATGAGTTGTGGAAAGTGATGTCTGCTTTTCTCTATATTATACATAAAACATAGCAAATATCTTACTTTAATGAGCTGGTGTGTGGGGATATAGAGATGACCAAGCTGAAAGGATTGACAATAAGATAACAACTAGAAACTGAATCCCTGAAGTGACATCTCTGTGCTTGCAGCCTTTTCTCTGAATATAAAATGCACATTTTTACACAACCCCTGTGAAATCTTAGCACTTTATATCACAAGGGTAAGTAAAATGCACACGTTTTTAAAAATCAAGTATTTTAAGGTCTCCAAAATGACAGATCTTTTCCCTCTGTGAGTCATATCATGATTTACCTTGAAAGTATTTTAAGAATATTCTATGACACAAAGAGACTAAGGTTATTCAAATGAGTTTGAAGTCCCTTTAGTTTCTCTTTATTCTCAATGAATTGCAAAGGCAACTGCAGTTCCTTACCCTGCTTCCAGCTCTCTGCTGAAGTTGAGGTTTGTGGGGGTTCAATCAGGCCAATTGGAAAAATATTAATGATAGTTATAGTAATAGCCACAAACTCTCTTGGAAAGCCTGAGAGTTTGCATAGCTTCTGATTGTCTGGCTGAAGGCAGCCAGAGTCTCTTTGCAGGAGCTAGAGAGCTTAAGGCACAAATACAAAATAATGTAGAGTAGTTTATCTAACTAACTTGTTTTCCTAAGACTAACCTTTGATGTACCCTGGGTGCTTAATTGCTTTCTACTCAGGAAGTCCACAATGTCAGTTACCCTCTAATGGTGTTTTCCTATGACCTTTGTCAATTAATCTTTACTAAATAAATGCAAGTCTCACTGACTGATCGAGGAGTTGCAACTGTTTACAGTACTCTCCAGGGAGTCTGTAGGTGGCTCAGACACTCAGCTGGACTGGCAAAGCAGAATATCTGTGTGTCAGTGTACTTCATTCATCCATCGCTGGGTCAGGGTCTGCAGGTTGGACCCTAGCAGAGGTTCCTCAAAGGATTCCACATTCTTGGTCACCAAAGCTGTTGTGGTTTTCTTCACCATGGAAGTAGATAAGTAGCAGGCCTCTGCCCTAATAGTTGGTCAAGTCCCTGCAGGCGCATGGGGACCACTGTTCTGGCAAATGCTGGTTGGGGAGAACATACAGATTTTAATCACTTTTAAAAATAGACTCAGGGGGTACAAGTGCAGTTTTGTTACATGGATATATTGTGTGC
Organism: Homo sapiens; assembly: GCF_000001405.40. Lineage (NCBI taxonomy): Eukaryota > Metazoa > Chordata > Mammalia > Primates > Hominidae > Homo > Homo sapiens. The sequence continues at coordinate 66,750,077 of NC_000009.12, read as the reverse complement.
TGGTGAAACCTCAGCATTTAGTGTACCCATCACCCAAATAGTGTACAGTGTACCTTTCAGGTAATTTCTCATCCCTCACTTCCCTCTCACCCTTCCAGTGTCTACTGGAGTCTCCAAAATCTCCAATGAGTCTTCAATGTCTATTCCACTTTTCATGTCCATAGGTACATATTACTTATCTCTCACTTATAAGTGAGAACATGCAGTCTTTGAATTTCTGTTTCTGAGTTATATCACTTAAGATAATGGCCTCCAGTTCCATCCATATTGCTGCAAAAAGTATAATTTCATTCTTTTTTATGGCTGAGAAGTATTCCATACTTCCCAAACAGAAATGTTGTACTTGTGATAACATCCAGCCACTTCTTTTATCTTATTTGGAATTCAAAGGGGGCAAATTTCTTCTTATTATTAAGCAGTATATAAAGCAACCAAGAATAATCTTCAGACCAAAGAAGACTATTCATGTCCATGAGGATGGCACAGAGAGAGACTGGCATAAGATAAACTGTGAAAGGCAGAGGAATGGAAGGGTTTAGGGCTTCATAGGTCAGGATAAGCAACTTGAATTTTATTCTGAATGCAATGGGCAATCATTGAAGTGCTTTAGGCAGTGGAGTGACTTTTTCTTTTCAAGTTTTGAGTGATTGTCCATCTTCAACCTGTAATCCCTCCTATTTACCATAATTCTTCCTTTTTACCAGAATGGTTACAGAGCCAAGTCAAGGGAGGGGTTGGTACCATTAGAATATAAATAACATTTTCTGAATAGACATAGGGCTTTTCTTGCAACACTAAGTTACCATTACACTTCTAGATAAAACAAATGTGATGATTTGTACATGTGCATAGAATCTAGGATGAATTGTACTTTGAGTTCTAGACTCAAATTGGGGTGGTAGAAGTGGAATGGAGCCAGGAAATAGTTAAATTCTAGTCTCTGGGGTTCCATTAAGGAGAACAGATCATTCTTATCCTCTTTGGTTATAAAGACCCTAAACTGTCTTTTCCATGCTTGGAATGGGTAATTTTAAATTTTAAATACATAGAATAAGCAGGCCTTCAGGAATTTATTACTTCACACAGTCCATATGCAGCCCTCTTATTTTGTGCCTTAGCCCCTGTGGACACCTTTTCCCAAAGCACCAGATTTTCCTGCTGTTGTAAGTGTGTACAGGACCCAAGGCTAAAGTACCTTACTGACACAGCAGGCTGCTGACCTCACCCCTCATCTTCAAAGCATTTTCAAGTTGGAGCATATTTGTGAAATAAATATTATCTTTCTTCCTTCTAATTACAAAATTAATAAATGTTACTTTGTAAAAATAATAATTTAAAAATCACTCCTATTTTCATCATTCCCAAATAACAGCTAAAATTTTAGTGCCATCTTTTTTTTAATCTTTCTTGTGCACTCATTTACAGTGTGAGGTACAGGGAAATTTAAGGAGCAAAGAAGAAGTTTAATTTTTTAAAATCATTTTGAAATTACTAGAAGTATTAAATCCTTAGAGGTTAAGTTCATTTACATTGGGAAAACTCTCTTTTTCTCTGGCATGAACCACTTGGACAGTCCCTCTCATGATAACAGGTATAAGGCAAGTGCCCAACGCATGGTTCAGGGGATGGTTGTAACTATGTTTGTCTTATCAATGGTCTGATAAGTGAGGTTGCTCCTGCTTCTAGAAGTATCTATTTTTCTTTTGCAAATTTATAGAGATATAAAAGAGCCATTTGTGCAGAAGGGAAGTGGCATCCAGACCATTTCTCTTTGAGCTTCAGTGCCATTTAGAACATGTTTGATAAACTAGGGTGTCTCAGACTCACAAGTATTGGGAGAAAAGAGCAACAGTGGCCCATTAAAGGAAACTCAATATAAGTGAAGTGAGGTACTGGCTGGGACTGAACACTTGGGTCACTGCTGATAGGGAGAATGTGTGGCAGATGCTGACTTCTGTATCAGGATTATCAGTGGTGTTTGAAGCCTGTTGAAGTGGATTGTGGTGAATGCTCGTTCAGTCACACCACTCACCCGTTAGTTAAAGGCCATAAGAAGGCAGAAAGGCAGGTTCATCCTGAGTCAGGGTTTGTGAGAGTGATGCCATGCGATGGGCAGAGAGGCTAGGGAAGCAGCTATCAAACGATAATGTACTTCAGAGGCGCATATTCCATTTGCAGATTTCAAGCTTCATTCATTCCAGATTGAATGGGGCCTAGGAATATGCATTTTAGCAAGTACCCCTGGTAATTCAGAGGCAGTAGTTTCATGGACCACACTTGGAGAAACACAGTTTTGACTAATGATAGAAGAGAGGAAATGGTAAATAATGGACGATATTCTTCCTAAGCTTGATAAGATGAGAAACGAATACAGCAGGAGCTAATAGATGGGGAGAAAGTCAGGTGGAATGGATGGAATGAATGCGGTTACTGAGTATCAGGATGAGGGGAATTTCATCCTGAGGAGAATATGAGTAAGAAGCATTTTCAAGCAAAATAAAAATCAGATATGACTTTTCCTACTGAAAAGTCTGAAGTTAAAATAATTAAAACTGCTGTTTGTTCAGAAATCGACAAATCAACAATGAAATGAGGGGTCTCAGAATATAGTGTGCACGTATGAACATAATGAAAGGTAAAGGTGACATTATAAATGTGTAGGGTCACAGAATATGAACAAAGTGACATAATAACATACAGAAAGGACATTTTGTCTTTTGTGTCACACTGTGTCTCATCCCCCACAGGAAGTAGGAGCACATGTCCAATGGCATTTAATTAGTAGACACTTTTGAAAACTGAGAGAATATACAACCACCCAACAGTCAGAATACCCCTCCCTCTTCTACATAGAGAGGCGGGAGAGACTGATACCAGGTACCTCCAGGTGATTGAAGAGCTAATATTTAGTGAGCAATGAGTGTATAATTTTGAAATAGACATCTTGTCACTTTTCAGTGTTTTCTACAGATAGACTAGAACCAAGAGAAATGAAGAAGTGTGGTGGTGAGGGAACAGGCTTAGATACAGAATGCCAAATATCTCACTGATGGCTTAGGCTACCCGCAAATTGGATACAAATGCTAAAATCACATCCCTGTGGTAGTGAGAGAGAGCAATGATCTTAGGTTTATGGTAAGGAAGAGATTTCTATGGGAATTCTATGGAGGGGTTACTCAACGTTTTACTGGTGTTCAACTTCAGTATATTGCCTAACCCATTTAAAGACTTGTCTTTGTGTAGTATTTGATAGATTAATATATATTTTAATACATTTTTCTACCCAATTTTCCTTATTAAATTAAAAAACTGTGGTTCAGAGTGATAAAGGGTATTGAAGTTGGTACCATTAGAATATAAATAACATTTTTCTGGCCAGGCTCAGTGGCTTACACCAGCGGGCGGATCACCTGAGGTTAGGAGTTCAAGACCAGCCTGGCCAACATGGTGAAACCCGGTCTCTGCTAAAAATACATATATGTATATGTAGCTGGGCGTGGTGGTGGGCGCCTGTAATCCCAGCCACTCGGGAGGCTGAGGCAGGAGAATCGCTTGAACCCGGGAGACAGAGGTTGCAGTGAGCCAAGATCGCGCTACTGCACTCCAGCCTGGGTGACAGAGTAACACTCTGAAAAAAAAAAAAAAAATATATATATATATATATATATATGTATAAACATTTTTCTGAATAGACATACTGATATGGTTTGGCTCTCTGTCCCCATCCAAATCTCATCTCGAATTGTAATCCCCACACATCCGAGGAGGGACCTGGTGGGGGGTGGTCGGATCACAGGGACAGTTTCCCCGATGCTGTGCTGGTGCTGGTGAGTGAGTTCTCATGAGATCTGATGGTTTTTTTGTAAGAGGAAGTTTCGCCTGTTTTCTTTTTCCTGCTGCCTTGTGAAGAAGATACTTGCTTCTCCTTTGCCTTCCGCCATGGTTGTAAGTTTCCTGAGCCCTCCCCAGCCACGTGGAACTGTGTCAATTAAACCTGTTTCCTGAGAGGTGCTCCAGCCTCCGCGCGGTCAGCAGTCAGCGCCGTAGTGTCCGGCCTGCCGCATGCCCTGCAGGTAGCGCCCCCGCCTGCGGCCCAGAGTGCACTCGCGCCTGCGCCATCTCCCGGAAAAATTTCGCGCCACGCAGAGATGACAGCCAAGGAGATGAAGGCGACCGAGAGTGCGGCGCAGCCAGCGCCGCTGCCCAAGAAGGAAGTGGACGTCAGCCCCAAACAGGATGAAGGAGTGCTGAAGGTCATCAAGAGAGAGGGCACAGGTACAGAGATGCCCATGACTGGGGACCTAGTCTTTGTCCACTACACTGGCTGGCTGTTAGAGGGCACAAAGTTTGACTCCAGCGTGGATCGCAAGGACAAATTCTCCTTTGACCTGGGAAAAGGGGAGGTCATCAAGGCTTGGGACATTGCCGTAGCAACCATGAAGGTGGGGGAGGTGGGCCACATCACCTGCAAACCAGGATATGCCTAGGGTTCAGCAGACAGTCCTCCAACGATCCCCCCATAACGCCACGCTTGTGTTTGAGGTGGAATTGTTTAAGGAAGAAGATCTGACGGAAGAGGAAGATGGGGGAATCATCCGCAGAATAGGGACTCGCGGTGAAGGCTATGTCAAGCCCGATGAGGGCGCTATGGTGGAGGTTGCGCTGGAAGGGTGCTGCAAGGACCAGCTCTTTGACCAACGGGCGCTCCGCTTTGAGGTTAGCGAGGGGGAGAACCTGGATCTGCCTTATGATCTGGAGAGGGCCATTCAGCACTTGGAGAAAGGAGAACATTCCACTGTGTACCTCAAGCCCAGCTATGCTTTTGGCAGTGTTGGGAAGGAAAAGTTCCAAATCCCACCAAATGCCGAGCTGAAATATGAATTACATCTCAAGAGTTTTGAAAAGGCCAAGGAATCTTGGGAGATGATTTCAGAAGAGAAGCTGGAACAGAACACCATAGTGAAAGAGCAGGGCAGTGTGTACTTCAAGGAAGGCAAATACAAGCAAGCTTTACTACAGTGTAAGAAGATTGTGTCCTGGCTGGAATATGAGTCTAGTTTTTCCAATGAGGAAGCACAGAAGGCACAGGCCCTTCGACTGGCCTCTCACCTCGACCTGGCCATGTGTCAGCTGAAACTACAGGCCTTCTCTGCTGCCATTGAAAGTTGTAACAATGCCCTAGAACTGGGCAGCAACAACGAGAAGGGCCCCTTCCGCCGGGGAGAGGCCCACCTGGCGGTGAATGACTTTGAACTGGCATGGGCTGACTTCCAGAAGGTCCTGCAGCTCTACCCCAACGACAAAGCCGCCAGGGCCCAGCTGGCTGTGGGTCAGCAGCGGATCCACAGGCAGCTTGCCTGGGAGAAGTTCTATGCCAAAATGTTTGAGAGGCTGGCTGAGGAGGAGAACAAGGCCAAGGCAGAGGCTTGCTCAGGAGACCATCCCACTGACACAGAGATGAAGGCGGAGTGCAAGAGCAACACGGCGGGAGCCAGTCTCAGGTGGAGACAGAAGCATAGCGCTTCTCACCAGCCCTACTCCTGAGGCTGCCTGCCCCCCAGCCTCCCCACTCCACCCTGTTAGTTTTGTAAAAACTGAAGAATTTTGAGTGAAAACAAAACAAAACAAAAAACTCCTCTTTCATTTATAAATTACACAGTCTCAGGTATTTCTTTATAGTAGTGTGAAAATTGAATAAAACACATAATTTCACCTTGTAAGGTGAATCCTCCTTGGTTCTCATGTAACCAATGTTTTAACACTCTTCTTTAAAAGGGCTTTTCTTAATGTTGGAAAAATTTCCCAAAACAAAAAGTGCAATAGGGACATATTAAATTTAGCAACCAAAGTGAACAATGTCTATTTTGTTTCTAGTTCCCTCTAGTCACTGTGCTCCTTGGTCACTCCCACACCCTAAATTCCGAAACAAGTGGGCACTCAAATCAGTAAGACCACAGTGGCACTCAAATAAAAAGCCCTCCCAGCATCCCTCTTATTTCCCCTAGGAGTTGTTTTTTTTTTTTTTTTTTTTTTTTGAGACGGAGTCTCGCTCTGTCGCCCAGGCCGGACTGCGGACTGCAGTGGCGCAATCTCGGCTCACTGCAAGCTCCGCTTCCCGGGTTCATGCCATTCTCCTGCCTCAGCCTCCCCAGTAGCTGGGACTACAGGCGCCCGCCACCGCGCCCGGCTAATTTTTTTGTATTTTTAGTAGAGACGGGGTTTCACCTTGTTAGCCAGGATGGTCTCGATCTCCTGACCTCATGATCCACCCACCTCGGCCTCCCAAAGTGCTGGGATTACAGGCGTGAGCCACCGCGCCCGGCCTATTTTATGAAACTTTAAGCCCATCTTCTTTCTTTTTTTTTTTTTTTTGAGACGGAGTCTTGCTCTATCGCCCAGCCTGGAGTGCAGTGGCAAGATCTCGGCTCACTGCAAGCTCCGCCTCCCGGGTTCATGCCATTCTCCTGCCTCAGCCTCCCGAGTAGCTGGGACTACAGGCACCCGCCACCACGCCCGGCTAATTTTTTTGTGTTTTTAGTAGACACGGGGTTTCACCATGTTAGTCAGGATGGTCTCGATCTCCTGACCTCGTGATCTGCCTGCCTAGGCCTCCCAAAGTGCTGGGATTACAGGCTTGAGCCACTGTGCTCAGCCCCTTCTTATTTCTTAATTAATTTATTTATTGAGGAGCCATGTAGGGAGACCTAGTGTACAAGCTTCCTGCATTTAGAATCAGTTGGACTTAATTTCTCTCTAATGCTTGTTTTCTTATCTGTGATTTGGTGGTCATAATAATACTTATATAAGAGGGTATGATTATTCCGAGGACTTACGGAAGTAAAGTGCTTAAAATGCTTATCACAGAGCCTGACACATAGTAGCCTCTAAAAATTTGTTACCAGGCACTGCGTTGGTAACATAAAAAAAAATTCTCCTGTTTTCAAGTATACTACTGTTTCACAAGGGAGAGAAAAAAACATAAAAATAAAATTAAAAGTTAATTTTAATTAACTTTAATTAAAAGTTTATTCTAAAGATATAGTAGGTAAATTTTTATCTGAAGAATTAAAAATGAGCAGGATACTATGATTCATTTTAAATTAATTTTTGTGCATGGTGAAGTGCAGGTCAAGATACATGTTTTTCCCCATTGTATTAGTCAGGGTTCTCCAGGAAAAGAGAACCAGCAGAACAGCAGAATGTCTATCTGTCCGTCTATGTATCTATCTACCTATCTATATCAAGAGATTTATTTTTTAAAATTGGCTTACACAATTGTAAGGGCTTGGTTAATCCAAAATCTACAGGTTAGGCCAGCAGGCTCGAGACCCAGGGAAGAGTTGCAGTTTGACTCCAAAGGCAGTCTACTAGCAGAATTCCTCCTTGCTCAGGAAGTGTCAGTCTTTGCTCTATTATTATTATTATTATTATTATTATTTTTTGAGACAGAGTCTTGCTCTGTCGCCCAGGCTGGAGTGCAGTGGCATCTCAGCTCACTGCAAGCTCCACCTCCCAGGTTCACACCATTCTTCTGCCTCAGCCTCCTGAGTAGCTGGGACAACAGGCGCCTGCCACCACGCCCGGCTAATTTTTTGTATTTTTAGTAGAGATGGGGTTTCACCGTGTTAGCCAGGATGGTCTCTATCTCCTGGCCTCTTGATCTGCCCACCTCAGCCTCCCAAAGTGCTGGGATTACAGGCGTGAGCCACCGTGCCCGGCCAGTCTTTGCTCTATTAAGTCTTTCAACTGATTGGAGAAGGCCCTTCCACACTATGGAGGGTAATGTGCAAACCCTAAGTCCACTGATTTATGTATTGTTCTTATCCAAACGAAAAAATCTTGACAGAAACATTCAGAATAATGTTTGACCAAATATCTGGGCACTGTGGCCCAGCCAAGTTTAAAGACAAAATTACCCACCACACCTACAGATATCTAACTGACCTAGTAAATTTTATGGAAAAGACTATCTTTTTGTCCGTTGAATGGAAGTGGCATCTTCAGGAATATGTATCTAAAATATCTATTCTGCCTTAATTATAGTGTTTATAGTAAAATAATTCTCATATGTAATACATATGAGAATATGTAAATAAATTATGTAATACATAAATATAAATATCATTTATAGTAAGCTAAGTCAAAGTTTAATTTTTAGCAACATTTATTCAGGATGGATCATAGGCCACAATGTGGAAGCTTGGACAGTAAAAACAATACAAATTCTATAACAAAAAAGTACAAAATATCTTCCATGACCTTGAGATAGGCAAAGATTTCTTAAACAGGACCAAAAAGACACCAAATATTTTTAAAGTTTATTAAATTGAACTTCTATAAATTAATGACTTCTATTCATCAAATAATATAATTAAGTTAGTTAATCTTGATGTCATCCCATTTGTTTATTTTTGCTTTTGTTCCCTATGCTTTCAGGGTTATATCCAAAAAATTGCTGATCAAACCCATATCTTGGAGCATTTTCTCTGTTTTCATGTAATAGTTTTCCAGTTTCAAGTCTTATATTTAAGTCTTTCATCAATTTAGAGTTAATTTTTGTATATGGTATGATATAAGGATCTCATTTCATTCTTCTACATGCGGATACTCAGTTTTTCCCACAGCATTTATTGAGAAGGCTGTGCTTTCCCCACTGTGTGTTCTAGGAACCTTTGTCAAAAATCAAATGGCTGGGTTTATTTCTGGGCTTTCTATCCTGTTCCATTGGTCAATGTGTCTGTTTTTATAGGAGTACCTATGTGGTTTTAATTAATATCACTTTATAACATGTTCTGAAATCAGGGAGTATAATGCCTCCAGCTTCGTTCTTTTTGCTAAATATTGTTTTGGCTATTCAGCATCATTTGTGTCCTCAAGTCAATACTCTAAGTTCCTACTCAAGAAATAAGAAAGAAGAACAAAGTAAATTCAAAACAAGGAAAATGAGGGAAATAAAAATAAGAGCACAGCTAATATCAAAAAATCAATCACTTTCCTATACATCAGCAATAAACAAGTGGAATTTGAAATTAAAAACAGAATATCATTTACATTAGCACCCCTAGAAATTAAAAACATAGGTATACATCTACCAAATTTGTATAAGATCTATATGAGGAAAGCTATAAAGCTGAGGAAAGAAATCAAAGAACTAAATACATGGAGAGCTATTCCATATACATGGATAGAGAGACTCAATGTTGTCAAGATGTCTTTCTAACTTGATTTGTGGATCCAGTGCAATGCCATTCATTACAACAGCAAATTATTTTATGCAATCTAAAATGTACATAGAGAGACAAAATATCCAGGTAGCAGAGCGTAGAATAATGTTTGCCAGGGGTTGGGGGTAGGGGAAATTGGGAGACGTTGAGTAAAGGGTCCAATTTCAGTTATGCAAGAGAAATAAGTCCTGGAGATCTAATGTATAGCATGGTGACTATTGTTAATAATACTGTATTGTATACTTGGAATTTGCTAAGAGAATAGATCCTAAGAGTTCTCATACAATAAAAAAGGAAGGTAAATATGTGAGGTGATGGATATGCTAATTAGCTTGATTATGGTAGTCATTTCACTATGTACATGTTTATAAAAATACCACATTGATGCAAGCTTTTGGGCTGGGGATCAGAGTTCTGGTGCAATTCTAGACTCTTCTCAAGAAGAATCTGAATACACTCTTGTGGGGATGGTACAACCAGCCTAGTTCCTGTGACAGTGTTCTTTCCCCTGTAGCCAGATGTGGGTTGGGTAGTGAGAGGTTAGTCAGCTCCAGAAAGTCTGTCTGTCTCCACAAAGGGGAGTGACAAAGAGCGGGAGCCTGAACTCAAGTGAAGAGCAATCATGAGGGCGACCTCATAAGGAGGACTTCTCAAACACGGGGCCATCTAAGTTTCACAATGACCGTAAAAGAAAGCCATTGTTTTTTTTTTTTTTTTTTTTTGAGACGGAGTCTCGCTCTGTCGCCCAGGCTGGAGTGTAGTGGCGGGATCTCGGCTCACTGCAAGCTCCGCCTCCCGGGTTCACGCCATTCTCCTGCCTCAGCCTCCCAAGTAGCTGGGACTACAGGCGCGCGCCACTACGCCCGGCTAATTTTTTGTATTTTTAGTAGAGACGGGGTTTCACCGTTTTAGCCGGGATGGTCTCGATCTCCTGACCTCGTGATCCGCCCGCCTCGGCCTCCCAAAGTGCTGGGATTACAGGCGTGAGCCACCGCGCCCGGCCAGAAAGCCATTGTTATCTCCATTTTCTGATGAAGTAGTCTGAGAAATAATGAGACTTTCCTGAAGAAAACCAGTAAACAGCAAAGTCAGCATTTATTCTTTTCACTCCACAGACATTTTTATCTAGGTATTGTTCAAAGGACTAAATGTGTGTCAGTCTTCATTAGTCATGGATTTTTATTTTAAAAAGTGTGGTCAAAAATACTTTATTAAGTGGGTGATATTTAAATAAACCCTTGCATGAAGTGAAGAAGCAAGCTCTGTAGATATTTGTGGAAAGAATGTTTCAGGTGGACAGAACAATTAAAAGGACTAAGGCTGGAGAGTGCCTGGCCAGTTTAGGGAACATCAAAGATACAAGGGGTGAGGGTGAAAGGGAACGGGTAGAAAGGGAGATGGAAGAAAGTTTTTTGTCTTTACCTAACAGTCATGGGATGAGCAACTCAGCTTTGCATGATTATCCGAGTACAGGTTTCTTTCAACTTTTTGCTGTTCCATGCCCCAGGGTATGGTCCATATCTGCCTAATCACAGCTGGGTCATGTGCTTGTAACAGAAGGGGAAAGAGGGCACATTCTAGGGCAAGTAGCTTATTTTGTAATTTGAAGATGTCCTATACGGTCGATTGTTTCCAAAGATGACTGCAACACTCCATTCTATCTTACATGACCTTTTGCAATATGACTTTTCCACTTTTCCATCAAGACATAGACTCTATCTTACCTCCCCTTAAATCTGGACTAATCTTATGAGTTGCTTTAACCAATATCATGTGGTAGAAATGACAATGTGCAACTCCAAAGACAAAACTTCAAGAATCCCCACACCTTCCATTTTTTATGTCTTGGAATGCAGCTGCCATGCTGATAGAAAGCTAAGCTAGACTGACGGAGGAGAACAGAGCCCCAGAGTCAGCCAATAGTCAGCACAACTACCAGCCATATGATTTAAACCATAATGGAAGTTCTAGCCCTGGCTGAGCTCCATAGGAGTGAAACTGCAAGTGTGAGCTCATAAGAGACCACCAAATGAGCCTGACTCTTAAATATTTGGTGTAAGCAAGTGTGAGAATGGAGTTTCCACCAGATGAGATTAGGAAGTTTACAGGTAAACAAAGTTTTGAATGCAAAGATCAGGAGTTCAGGTTTGAACATTGGTAAGTTTGAGATATCTCTAAGACATCTAAAAAGAGTCAAATAAGCCTTTTGGAATTTTAGTTTGCAGTTTGGGAGAGAGGTGTTGGCTAGAGAGCCACATTTGGAAGTCAGTGGCATATGGATGGAACTCATGCCAAAAGACTGACTGAAACAAGAAAAAAAATTAACAAGGAGGAGTCGTAATCAATTATATCAGATGCTGCAGATAGTGTGAGTAATGTGAGAATTGAGAGTTGACCACTGATTTTAGCAATGTGAGATTTGTTGGACACTTTGACAAGAGCAGTGTAGGGGAAGTGCTGAAAAATCTGATTGGACTGTGTTTACAAGAATAACAGAGAAAAATATTTTAAAAGAGTGTGGATAACTCCTTCAAGGAATTGTGTTGCAAAAGAGAATAGAAATGGGACAGGAGCTGGCAGAGAAAGTAAAGCCAAGAAAAGTTTCTTTTTGTTTGTGTTCTATTGTTGTCATGCCCTTAAGGATAGGGAATATAGCATGACTGGATGTTAATAGAATTTTCCAAGGAAAAATCCAAAGGCCAGAGGTGAGCTAATCTTGCGACTTCTATTTTTGAATAGGTGAAGTATGAGCTTCGTATATGAGTAAGGGTAGTTAGTCTAAGTTAAAAGGTGAGAAGGCAGACTCTGTGGGTGTAGGTACTGGTGGGTAAGTGTCTTTGTTCATTTTGTGCTGCTGTGACAGATGACCACAGATTGCGTGATTAATTTTTTCACAGGTATAAAAGCTGTGAAGCCCGAAATCAAGATGCCAGAATTTGATATCTGGTGAGGCCCTTCTTGCTGCCTGTGCACATGACAGAAGGCAGAAGGGCAAGAGAGCCAAATGCTGCATTTAGCCTCTTTTTTAAGGGCTTTGCTGCAGTTTGAATGTGTCCTCCCAAAAATCATGTGTTAGAAACTTAATTATCATTAAAATAGTATTAAGAGGTGATTACACTATGAGGGCTCTGCCTTCATAAATGGATTAATGCTGCTATTGTGGGAATGGGCTCCCTATAAAAGGACCTATTTGGCCTGCTTTTTTCTCTCTCACCCCTTTTTTATGCCCTTCACGATGAAAGGACACACATGAAGGCCCTAGGCAGGAGTCAGCCCCTTGATCTTGGACTTTCCAGCTCCAGAATAGTGAACCAATAAATTTCTGTTTATTATAAATTACCCAGTCTGTGGTATTCTGTGTAACAGCATAAAATGGACTAAGACAGTCCTTAATCCTATTCATGGAGGAGGAATCCTCATGGCCTAATTCCTCTTAAAGGCCTCACCTCTCAATATGATCACATTCTTCATTAAGTTTCAACATATTAATTTTGGCAGAAATACATTCAAATCATAGCATTCTTCTCTGGCCACTCAAAATTCATATCCTTCTCATGTGCAAAATACATTATTAATTCCATCCCAATAGCCCCAGAAGTTTTCATTCATTCCAACAACAACTCAAAAGTCTAAAGTCCAGAGGTTTATGTAAATCAGGTATGAGTGAGACTCAAGGAACAATTCATCCTGAAGCAAATTTCCCTCCAGCAATGAGGCTGCAAAGTCGAATAAGTTATTAGCTTCCAAAAACACAATGGTGGTATAGGTGTGGGATAGACATTCCCATCCTGAAAGGCAGAAATTGGTTAAAAGAAAGGGGTAACAAGTTCTGAGTAAATCCAAAACCCAAAAGGGCAAACAACATTAGATCTTAAGGCTTGAGAATAATTTTATTTGACTCATGTTTTACCTTCAAGGCAGACTGGGGCAGGGGTTGGATCCCCAAGGCTCCAAAGGCCACAGCCCCATAGCTTTGCTGGGCACAGCCCACACCACAGCCCTCATGGGTTGGAGTCTCCTGCCTGCAGCTCTTTCACTCTGGCATTGCATGCTGGTGACTCTAAAATGTGGAGGTCTCCAGCATGGCCCTACCCCCATAGTTCCACTAGATTTTGTGTTAGTGAGTACTCTCTGAGGTGGCCCCACTCACACAGCTCCACTGTGCATACCTCTGGTGGAGACACTCTGAGGCATTCTCTGAAACCTAGGGGAGGAAGCTAAGCCTTCAAAGCTCCTGAACTCTGTGCACTTGCAGAGTTCGCACTACATGGATGCTGCCAAGTGCTATGGCCTGTACCTCCTGAAGCAGTGACTTGAGCCACACCTGGGCCTGCTTGAGCCATAGCTGGGACAGCCAAGGAGCACTGTGCCAGAATGCAGGGAGCAGAGATTTGAGGCTGCCCTGGATGGTAAGCCTCAAGTTCCCATGGGCACCCTGGGCCCCTCCCTCAAACCTGTTCTGCCCCCAAGGCCCTAGCACTCTGCCTGTGAAGAATGTGGCGGCCTCAAAGATCTCTGAAATGTCTTCGCGGTCATTTTCCCATTATCTTGATAAATTGTTCCTGGCTTCCTGCTATTCACACTAATCTGCTTATCAGACTGTCAATTGGGCACACCCTTGGTTTTCTCTACTAAACATGCTTTTTTATTATTTACATGGCCAGGCTGAGAATTTTTCAAATCTTTACATTCTTTACATGTGAGAGCTTCCCTTTTGATTATAAATTCCATCTTTAAGTCATTTCTCTCTTTTTGCATTTTGCTATGAGCAGTTAAGAGAAGCCGTGCAATTCCTTCAACATTTTGCTGCTTAGAGATTTCTTCCATCAAGTATCCTAGTTCATCACTCTTAAGTTCTACCTCCCACAAAATACTGAGGCAGGAACATAATTCAGCCAACTTCTTGGCTACTTTGTAACCATGATGGCCTTTCTTCCAGTTTCCAGTAAGGTGTTTCTGATTTCTCTTTAAGATACCATAATAAAGGCCCTCACTGTCCATATTTCTACCAGTATTCTGGTCACAACCACTGAGATAATATAAGAACTTGTCTAAGATAAACTAAGAAGGTTCAGGCTTTCCCTACAGCTCTCCTTTTGTTCTGAGCCCTCACCAGAATCACCCTTAATGTGCCATGTTGGGCCATACAGGCTTTTTCAGCATTCCCTTTAAAACGGTTCCAGCCTCTACCCATTACTCAGTTCCAAAGCTGCTTCTACATTTTCAGGTATTTGTTGTAGCAACACTCCATTCTCCTGGTATCAATTTTGGTCTCAGTCTATTCGTGCTATTATAACAGAATACCACAGCCTGAGTAATGTGTAAAAAAAGAAATTGGCTGGGTGCAGTGACTCATGCCTGTAATCCCAGCACATTGGGAGGCCAAGGCCGTGGATCACTTGAGGTCAGGAGTTTGAGACCAGCCTAACCAACATGGTGAAACCCTGTCTCTACTAAAAATACAAAATTAGCTAGGCGAGGTGGCGCACACCTGTAATGCCCACTACTTGGGAGGCTGAAGCAGGAGAATCCCTTGAACTTGGGAGGTGGAGGTTACAGTGAGCCGAGATTATGTCATTGCATTCCAGCCTGAGCAACAAGAGTGAAACTCTGTCTCAAAAAAAAAAAAAAAGAAAAGAAAAGAAGTTTATTTTCTCACAGTTCTAGAGGCTGACAAATTCAGGATCAAGGAGACAGTGAGGTCCTTTTGGCATCTGGTGCGGTCCTTTTCGCTGCATTCTCACCTGGCAGAAGGTAGCACGGCAAGAGAGCCAGATGCTGTGTGAAGCCTCTGTTAGAAAGACCTTTATCCCCTTGATGAGGGAGGAGCCCGCATGGCCTTAAAGGCCCATCTTTTAATACTGTCACATTGGCCATTAAGTTTCAATACCTGAATTATGGAGGAGACACATTCAGATCACAGCCATAAGCCAATGTGATGTTGGAAGCTCATGGACATTCTTTTTTGATTGCTTCAGTTTTCTGGTGAAGTAGGGAGCTAAGAATGAGACTGGGAGAAGAGACACTGGCATTTCGAGGAAAGAGAAAAGAGAGAAAAAGTGTTATCTAAGAGAATGAGAGGGTAAACAGGTGTGAAATGTTGTGTGATGCTTTGCAGCTTTAAGGGTACCTGTTATGTTCAGCCTTCACTTTAGAGATGAAGACCCTAAGTCCTGGAGAAGTGATATGCCTGTCCTTGGATCATGCGGCCAATTGAAGTGGAGTCCTTACTAGAACCCAGGACTCCAAATGGCCACCTCAACAATATTTCATGTATGTGCTCCATGTGGTCTTCTGTGTTATAGTTTAGCTACTGAACATAATAGATCTCCAAGTCAAAAAGGCTATTTTTAATACATTTTTTACATGACTGTTCACGTAAAAAGAAACAGACTTTCACTTTGAGACACTTATTTTTTCCTTCAAGCCTGTCTTGCAGATTCCATCAGTACAAATGTCTTATTTATTAAAAGTACAAAGACAGACTTTGAAGCAGAAATTTAAAATGCCCACCTGGGAAAAACCAGATGAAATCTTCACGATCCAGTTCTGTGACAGGTGAGCCAGCAGCAGGCTCCCCATGTCTCCTAAGATACGGGCTTCCACCAGAGAAAAGAGAATATCTAAAGTGCTTTAATGCAACCTGTCCAAAAGTAAACTTTTTCTTTCTCTGGTGAAGAAGACAAAAGGAAAACTTTAAATCTACTCGAAGTTTGTAAAAGAAGCATGACAACTCTTGCCTAGTAGGGCTGTGGCTAGGGCTGGTTCCTAGAGTGGCCATGATGATGGGAGGAGCATGCTAGGATTGGTTCCTCAGCTAGGCCTCCAGACAAGTATGGGGGCACCAACTTTGTGTAACTACCTTCCCACTCATTTTGAGAGCCACAGAGTTTGCACCCTGCACTTGCTGTCTGGTGGCTTTCAACTCCCATTGTCAGCCCTTCCTTGGAGAGATGTATTATATTAATACTTTCCATTGAAGGGCACAGTTTGGTGTCTTATTACCTTCTTACAAAGATCTAGAGCTGCCTTTCTCTACCAGGGCTCCTCATCTGAACCTCAGAGCATGGGAAGTGATGTGAGTAACTGTTTCAGCCCACCAGAGAACAACTACTTGCACGTATAGTAGTTGCTGTCCATTGTCCAGTCCCAGAAGAGGTTCAGCCACTCACACATCTTTCCAAAATTGGCGAACTCTGTTTTGGTACAGCAAGGATGATGTTTGCAAAATGCTGAGACAAGCAATCACTACAGAATTTTTCAAATCTAATGTATTAGAAGATACAGAGATGTTAAAATGTTGGATATGTTAAAAGTTATCATTGTAATTGGAAAATGTGTTGCTTCTTTAAACTGTGATGGATCATTATACTGATAAAATTTAGTATTCACTCTATGGGAAAAAGCCCAAGCTCTGCTCCAAACATTTTATTTCTACATTAATTCTGCTAATTTCATCTTTCCTCCTTCCCTCGCCCTTTGGAAGGGTAAAATATTTAAGTTGAAGAGAAAAATCTAATTTTAAAAACAATTTTTGTTTAAAACTTGTTTTTGATTTTCATATTATATTTATATCCTGTCTATAAACAGAATCAATAATGAAAGCCATAGATTATGATGGAAGAGCTTCTTAGGTCCATGCTAAAAATGAAACAAAAGCTTATACCTTTACTAGATTTCAACATAAAAAATATATGCATATGATTAAAGAAACCCATAAATAAGGGGAAATCTCACAGAAGTGAAATAAGATTTGAATATGGAAAGAAAAGGACCCAAAAGTCATTGCACATTCACAGAAATCTAGTTTTCATTATAAAGATCATCTTATGACATGCTTTTGCAACATCAGTAGGTAGAATTTCTTTTAGCACAGAGCCTGACCACACTTTCTTTCAAAAATATGGAGTTAATATGTCACTTTTGAAATCATTATTATGATTTTTATTTCCTCAATGTTATACTGAACACACTGAATTTAGGACTGAGGCAAATGAGAGTTAGTCTCCTAGTCACAACTATATCTTTTACAGACTAAGAATTTTGCAAAAATCAAAGCATAGATATAAGTTCACTTCTATCCATCTAAAGAAGCACAAAAAAAGAGCTGTTTTAAAAGGTCATGTCATAGGTGGGTACAGTCCCATTGTTTAGCTGCCTCTCTCTTGACTCTCTGACCTGGGACATTGTGGGGATTTGCCTCATTGCAATAGTTGCAATTCCTGGTCCCAGTTCTCTTGACTCTATCCTTGAAGTCAGAAGTATTAGACAGAAAAAAAATGGAGACTTGAATTTTTTTAGAGAAAACATGTGTGGGTAGATATTTAACTGATTAATGTCCTCTTAATTACTTGAACATTACTAGCCAATACATGTGAGCTTTTGCAGACAAAGGGTTGCAGCCATATCGTCCAATTCTTGTTGGTTACATGTCAACAACCTGTGATCCACTGCACCTGTAAAATACTGTTAGCCCTATTTTCACTCTCATTATTTAATACAAATGATCACTGTTCTTTTTTATTATTTTCTCTTCCTTTAATTTTCTTACTCCCAGTTTTTCTCCACCACTCCATCTTCTTCTTGCATAAACCTCTGCTGGTATCTAACATTCTTTATTCTCAAGGGTGGCATCTTAAAGGGCGTTTCAGATCTTTGGGTCTTACATTAATTTAGTTGTGGGTCCACAGCTGGGAAGCTCAGTATCAAGACTGCCCAATCACTGATAAGAAGAGATAGATGGCCAGGCACGGTGGCTCACGCCTGTAATCCCAGAACTTTGGGAGGCCAAGGTGGGTGGATCATGAGGTCAGGAGATCAAGACCATCCTGGCTAACACGGTGAAACCCTGTCTCTATTAAAAATACAAAAAATTAGCTGGGCATGGTGGTGGGCGCCTGTAGTCCCAGCTACTCGGGAGGCTGAGGCAGGAGAATGGCATGAACCTGGGAGATGGAGCTTGCAGTGAGCCGAGATCGCGCCACTGCACTCCAGCCTGGGTGACAGAGTGAGACTCCGTCTCAAAAAAAAAAAAAAAAAAAAAAAAAAAAAAAAGAAGAGATAGATAAGTCAGCTGGTGATCACACTTGACAGAGGCTAAGAGTGAAACTCTGCCTAGGTGATGGGGAGGGCCAGGAGCAGGGGCCCATGCTGTGAAAGGTAAGCCTTCAAACAAGGTGAACAGCGGTGAAGTAAGGGCTTATTCCCTCCTCGAAGATTTTGTTACTATCTTGCCCCTCCGCAGATACGATCCTTTAAAGGTTTCTTATCTTCTTTTGGAGAAAATTCTATACTCCCCTCGTTTTCAAGGACATCTCCAAATTGGTTCCAAAGGGTCTTTCTATTCACAGCTTCCATTAGTCCCTTGCAGGCTCCTAGGCAAACAAGATCATTTATTTATTTATTCATTTTCTTAAAAGTACACCCATTTCCAGCCTCATTCTTGGATCAGGCCCAGCATGGCCTTCCCTCTCATATGTGCACACACTAACCAACTAAAGATGGATTCTAGATCTCCATCACGAAGACTCTTTTAAGCCTCCCAGGGAGGAAGAAACTTCAAGCTTACCATGAGGAAAATATTTTCTTTTTTATACCTCTTTCACAGAGAAATCTTTACCTTTCTATACTGTTTTTATGTAGCTTTTAAGTTATGTCACGAATATTGTAGTGTCCCCATTAACCTCTAAACTTCTTGAAGGAAGGAATTGTGTCTAACCCTTTTTCTGCCTTAATGGTAGTAAAATTTTACTGATTGAAGAATGAATGTGGAAGGATGTTTTCGGGAAATAGCCTTTTGTTTAATACTCAGTAGGTTGGTTTCTATCTTATCTCTTCATAAAACTCCACAAAGTGACAGAATTCCTTCCTTTAATTGAGATCATTCTCAGCTCTAGTCTACCTCCAGATGGTCTGTTTTAAATTAACGGCTCAAAATTTTACTACTCTTGAGAACTTGGGCAAACTAATCAACCATTCTTAGTCTCAGTGTGCTCTTTATAAAATGAAGAAAACGTTAATCCTTCCACTGCTTTGTGAGGCTTGAATGAGATGCGAGTCCCTCAGTTCATCTCAGGGCCCTGTGCTCAGTAATCATCCACTCTTAGGACTGAGCTGAAAGAACAAGCACATTCAAGGAAACAATGGGGTTTAGTTTTTTCCCAAAAAAGTATTTTTATTGCTTGGCAACCAATAAAGAGTTCATAGTTCTTCTACCTCTTCTTTCTCTTTTTATTTAAATAAGCAGGCAATCAAACCTATAGATTTTTCTGTTAAAAATATATTCATTATGTAGACAAAATTTAAGAATGTTAGAAAAACTTTAGTGTAGAGACAACAAATGTCATATAATTAAATATGCCTATGATTATTTTGATTTACATGATACCAAGGGTCTGTGTAGGAAGATAAGTTTAGCCCAAAACAATCTTAGCTGAAGCAAATGCAAAACAGGAAATTTAGACACAAGGAAATAAACACTAGTCCTAAAGTATGCTCTTTAAAATAGCTTTAACGCAGCATAGAGTTTTGCATCTATATTTGTGAACAAAATTATCCATGCAGCTGTCCAATATCTTGCCAGAATTGTAAACTTCAAATTAGGATGCAAACTCAATGTCACTCAAGAAAGTGGTCATGAGGCTGGACTTAGTCATTGGTAATTATTCTGGATTCATCAGCAAGGGCAGAGCTGATTTTACCATTTCATAACACACCACTTCTGAACAGTTTCCTCCCAGGTGCTTAAGAATGAAGAAGTGGCTGTCAGGACTGCACTGGCAATATTTTTCAAAATGTGGATCCCTGGTCATATTAAAATAAAAGTTTTTCCCCCATCAGGTTAGCAGAAATGTAAAATGGAGATTGGAATTTAGATGTAGAGTTTTGTGTCAGAACCACGTTTGATAGTCAGTTACACACATCTGGCCCACAGTTAAGAATGTAAACTAACAGCATTAAGAGCCAGACATCCTGGGTTCAAATACCAGCTCTGCTATATAAGGCTTGGCCTTTCTGTGCCTCAGTTGTCTCACTTGCAAAATCAGGATGATATCATCCTCCAAGGATTACTGTGAGGATTAAATTGTTAATATGCTTAAAGTGCTTGGAACAGAACACACACTCTGTGAAGTCATTACTATTATCATTACATTAACACTTCTCTTTTTGAAAAAGGACACTTTTTCTATTAGTTAAGACAAAGCAAGCCATATATTTGCAAATTCCTAAAACAATGATTGAAATTAAAATTCTATAGGAGAATGACTTAAATTTTCTTTGTAATCAGAATAGATATGCCTCCAGTTCCATTCTTGAAGCAGGATACATGCCAAGGTCAGAAGGAAGGTGACTTCTGCTTTCACAAGCCTGTGAGAGAATGGGATCCGGGATGAGTCCTCTGACTCAGGGGCTCACCTTTCCCACCATGTCATGCAACGCATCAAGGAGGCTCATGTTCTTTCAATTTAAGGAATGCACATTTCATTACTTGAAAGAGGAAAATTTAAATGTTTCTTCAAAGGTTATACAGAATATTATGACAGACTTAGGACAACAAACAATGCTTCTGTTAACTGTTAGAGTTCTCTTTGGCAGTGTTATTATGAGTTAACTGCTCAGTAAGAAGATGGTTAATATTGAGTGTCAACTTGATTAGATTGAAGGATGCAAAGTATTGTTCCTGGGTGTGTCTGTGAAGGTGTTGCCAAAGGAAATTAACATTTGAGTCAGTGGTCTGGGAGAGGCAGATCCACCCTCAATCTGGTGGGCACCATCTAATCAGCTGCCAGCGAGGAGGCAGGAGAAGATGGAAGAGCAGACTACTGAGTCTTCCAGCTTTCATCTTTCTCCTGTGCTGGATGCTTCCTGCCCTCGAACATCAGACTCCAAGTTCTTCAGCTTTTGGACTCTTGGACTTACACCAGTGGTTTTCCAGGGGCTCTTGAGCCTTTGGCCACAGACTGAAGGCTGCGCTGTCAGCTTCCCTACTTTTGAGGTTTGGGGACTCAGACGGAACCACCACTGGCTTGCTTGCTCCTCAACTTGCAGACAGCCTATCCTGGAATTTTACCTTGTGATCGTCTGAGTCAATACTCCTTAATAAATTCCCTTTCGTATATACATATATCCTATTACTTCTGTTCCTCTAGAGAACCCTAATACAAGGGATTAACATCAGAATTTTGAATTCACCTAAAAGCAAGTGAGGTTACATGAAGTAAGCACAAGAATGTCCTCCAAAATGTACCTTAAATTAAATGGAAAGTAAAGAAGACATGAGAGTTTATTTTTATATTACTGAATGTTGTTTCTTATAAAAGGCATACTTTAATTCAGTAAGTAATTTGAGAGGGTCTGAAGACTAAACTACATGTTAAAAAACATTGCCGGCTGGATGTGGTGGCTCATGCGTGTAATCCCAGCACTTTGGGAGGCTGAGGCAGGCGGATCACAAGGTCAGGAGTTCCAGATCACCCTGGCTAACACGGTGAAACCTCATCTCTACTAAAAATACAAAAAAATTGGCCTGGTGTAGTGGCACATGCCTGTAGTCCCAGCTAATCAGGAGGCTGAGGCAGGAGAATCGCTTGAACCCAGAAGGTGGAGGCAGCAGAATCGCTTGAACCCAGAAGGCGGAAGTAGTAGTGAGCCGAGATCATGCCACTGCACTCCAGTCTGGGTGACAGAGCGAGACTCCATCTCAAAACAAAACAAACAAAAAAACAAAACAAAACATTGCCAATGTTTCCATATTGTGGGAAAGCTATTTATTGGGAAACAGTTTACTATTTTATTAGACCATGCAGATTATGGTGATGTGATATTATACCTAGAGAAATACAATATAGAATAATATTACAGTTTTTTTAAAAGAGCCTTCTACATGTTGCAAAAATCTGATTTTTAATTTAATAGTACTTTAAGTAATCAAGAACATTTTATAAAGAAACAGCAATGATTAGTATTATAAAGATTATCTGTTTGTTTTATTAATCATGGAGAAAAGTTGTCACAATACTTGCCCTTTATGATATTTCAATAAGAATCACCTGCCAAATAATATGGTGATATCCATACCCACAACAATTCCATTGACTTATGAGTTAAAAATTTACTTTTTACTGCAGATGGTTGGTTCCCATGCCCTGAGAAACACAAGATGCTCCATGGAAATGCTGATGATTTTACCTTCATAAAACCAGTTTTATTCACATGTCACATGCCTCAGAAGTCAAGCACAACCTACTCAAAACTTTAGCTCTGCAGTATAGAGGTCTCCTTCTTCTCCAAGCTAAGATCTTTTGGGGAAGAAGAGCTTATAAATTGATCAGAATTTGCTCCCACAAGTTCCAGTGAGCAGAGTAGTAACTGAGAACCCAGGCTTTGTGGCCTTATAAATCTGAATCTACTAGCTGTGTATTCTTGGGAAAGTTACTTAACATCTTGGAGCCTCAATATTCTCATTAAAAAATGAGAATTTAAAAGTAGCATTGTCATAGGTACTGATGGCTATGTGGTGTCATGTGATTCTTGGCGCAGGTCCTTCATGACATTGTAACTATTGTTTTAATTGCACCATGCACTACAAATAAAATGTTGTATGAATTAAATGGAGCTACCTTAACTAAAATAGGTGGTAATTAATGAAAAATGCTAATCATAACCAGAAAAAAAATTTATTTTTTTCTTTTTAAATCAGGATCCCTGATAAAAATCTACCCAGAATACAAATCTACCCAAAATGAGATTATCATCCACAATCTCATGTAAAAATATCTAGGCTGGCATGGTGGTTCACGCCTGTAATCCCAGCACTTTGGGAGGCCAACTGGGGCGGATCACCTGAGGTCAGGAGTTTGAGACCGGCCTGGCCAACATGGTGAAACCCTTCCCCTACTAAAAATACAATAATTAGTGGGGCATGGTGGCGGGTACCTGTAATCCCAGCTACTCAGGAGGCTGACACAGGAGAATCATTTGAACCCGGGAGGTGCAGGTTGCAGTGAGCTGAGACAATGCCTTTGCACTCCAGCCTGGGTGACAAGAGTGAAACTCCATCTCAAAATAAATAAATAAATAAAAATATTTAAAACCTAGATTTTTTAAAAAGCATTTGGTAGCCTGACCAATAACTGGAGAGAGAAAAAGTGATGCTCCAAGAATAAACTATTATATTTTAATTCTCAAGTCATTTAAATTGATAATTTTATGGGTCCTTGCACATAAACAGCTGAAATGTTAAATCAATTCATTAAAGTGTTCATAAATTCACTAAATGTTCTTAATCATCATTAAGCCTTAAACAACCTGTGACATCAAAATGATTACAGAGAAACAGTGATAAATTACTTTGAGTTATCAACTATATATTTAAATACTGGGATACTGGTCTAAGTTATTTGGTATTTTAGGGGATATTAAGTATTCCATCTCTAATATAATTTATATTATGTCATGCTTCCCATAAGTTTTTAAACAGAAACTTTAAGAAAGTGATTATGCACTTAAAAAATCATATCAAGCAATATAAAATCTGAACACCAGATTGGTACAAAACATGAATATCACATAAAAGTAACCTAGCATTGAAAATGAGAAGCTGTTACCCTGTGAAATTATAATGTAAAAACACACTAGATAAAATGCAGTATCTTGAGTATAATCTGTTACAAATTCTGAAATTGTGTACAAAATGTATATTATATGGATTTTAAGACCTCTCCCAAATGTAGACTTTTGACATACCTGGCCTGTAAAAGATATATAGGCTGACAGACCTAGGGGAAAAAATGCTATGTTCTGAGCCCAATGTGCCTCTTTGGTCCATAAGTATCATTTACAAGAATAATCATGATTCTCTGATTCCAAACTGTTGCCCCCATTATGAGCCGATTGCTCATACCTGTGGCACCAGTCACTCCATCAAACCTTTATTCTGGGCTGCACACTCCTGGAAGGAACCATAAAGGAGGTCTGAGGGCAAATATCCTTTGTGTTAGGATCTGGCTCATGTCCACATCCCCCTTGCTGGTGCCATATTCAATCCATGAGGACCTACTGGATTCTAGACCTTAGTAGTAGACATAAAATTCCAGAACAGTTTATGGAATTTTACTATGTGGTCCTTCTGTTTCTTAGCATTTTTGTCTTAATCAGTTTAGGCTGATATAATAAATTATCATAAACTGCGTGGCTTAAACAAGAAATATTTATTTCTCATAGTTCTGGTGGCTGGCAAGTCCAAGATCAAGGCATCAGCATGGTTGAGTTCCAGTAACTGCTGATTGCAGACTGCTGATTTCTTATTTTATTCCTACATGGTGGAAAAAGAGCAAGCTAATTCTCTGGCCTCTCCTGTCCAATTTGTAAAATTTCATATTCAGACATGTAAAAGTTATAATGCTTATTTCAAATTGAGAATCAGTAGGGTGATAGGCATTTTAGCAAGAAACATAATTATCTCCATATATAAACTAATTTTAAATATTACAGTTTAGTTTTCCAGGTACTAATTCCTTGGCTCATATAAAATGTATACTTCAGAAAATCTCTTTCCTTGTTTCTGCTTTTTATTCCAATATTATAACTTCTCATAAAAAATGAAATAAGATAAATTTAAATGCTGTGTAATTCAGCTATCTGGAAAAGGACATCATTCTTCTGATGACACTGAACATGTAGATGAGGAATCATAGTGGAGGAAAGCTATCTTACTGGGACCAAGTATCCCAGTGGTCACAGACTTAAGGGAAGGGATTCAGGATGTTAGGGATGTAGGGGAGGAAAAACACCATTTACTTCCACTATCTTTTTGTCCATAGTCAATTTTGTCTGAGAGTAGTGATTGCTTTAGAGGTGAAGAGCTAAGAAAGACAGATTCATCTTCATTTCTGACCATTTCACTTCCAAATATGCATTAAAAGCACTAGTGTAAACTAATTTTATTACTCCTATCCTCCTGCAAGCCTGGAGGACATTGCCTGTGTCCCCCACATTGACTTCTTCAAGCAGTTTTTGATTCAATTGTTTCCACCCTGACATAACATAAAAGACAATATGGAACACACAGGTAACATTTATATCCTGGAAGGCTTTCTCTACCTCAGAGAGATGACAGATGTCTCCATGTATAAAGTTGATTCCTTCCAGAATGGTTTGAGCAGGGATACTTATGTCAAACAGAATCATATGGACTCCCTTCTGATTCAGAAACAGCCTAGGCAGAACCCAAAATATCTACCACTTCCTGTAATGACAACAATTTCTTTTTAAAAAAATAATTTTGATTTTATTTTATATTCAGGGGACATAGCTGCAAGTTTTTACACAGGTATGTGGAATAATGCTGATGTTTAGGATATGGATTCCATCACCCAGGTAGTGAGCATATTACCTAACAGGCAGTTTTTCAACCCATCTCCCCTCCCTCCTGCCCCTTCCAGTAGTTCACAGTGCCTAGTGTTACCATATTTATGTCAATGTGTACTCAGTGTTTAGCTCCCACTTACAAGTGAGAACAAGCTGTATTTGGTTTTCCATTCCTATATTATAACAATTTACTTAGGGTTATGGCCTCCAGTTGCATCCATGTTTCTGAAAAGGACATGATTTCATTCTTTTCTATAGCTGTGTAGTATTCTGTGGTGTATATGTACTACTACTACATTTTTAAAATTCAATCTACCGTTGATAAGCACCCAGGTTAATTCCATGTCTTTGCTATTGCGAATAATGCTGTTATGAACATACAAGTGTATGTGTCTTTTTGGTAGAATGATTTATTTTCCCTTGGGTATATGCCCAATAATGGGATTGGTAGGTTAAATGGTAGTTCTAAGTTCTTTGAGAAATCTTCAATTGCTTTCCACAGTGGCTGAACCAGTTTACATTCCCCTCAACAGTTTATAAGCATTCCCTTTTATGCACACACAGCCTCACCAGCATCTGTTGTTTTTTGACCTTTTCATAATAGCCATTCTGACTGGGGTGAGGTGGTATCTTATTGTAGTTTTGATTTGCATTGCTCTGATGATAGTGATGTTGGACATTTTTTCATATGTTTGTTGGCCACTTGTATGCCTTCTTTTGAGAAGTATCTGTCCATGTCCTTTGCCCATTTTTTAATGGGGTTATTTGTTTGTTTTTTCTTGATTTGTTTGAGCTCCTCATAGGTTCTGGATATTAGACCTTTGTTAGATGCATACTTTGCAAATATTTTCTCCTATTATGTAGGTTGTCTGTTTACTGACAGTTTCTTTCGATGAGCAGGAGCTTTTTAGTCTAATTGGGTCCCACATGTCAGTTTTTGGTTTTGTTGCAATTGCTTTTGGGGACTTAGCCAAAAATTCTTTGCCAAGGCTGATGTCCAGAATACTGTTTTTCCTAGATTTTCTTCCAGGATTCTTATAGTTTGAGGTCATACATTTAAATCTTGAATTCATTTTGAGTTAATTTTTGTATACGATAAAAGGTAGGGGTCCAGTTTCATTGTTCTGCATATGGCTAGCTAGTTATTTCAGCACTATTTATTGAATAGGGGACCCTTTTCCCATTTTTTTGTGGGCTTTGTCAAAGAGCAGATGGCTATAGGTGTGCAGAACTGCTTCTGGATTATCTATTCTGTTCCATTCATCTGTCTTTTTTTGTACCAGGACCAAGCTGTTTTGCTTACTGTAGCCTTATAGTATAGTTTGAAGTTGGGTAGTGTGATGCCTCCAGCTTTGTTCTTTTTGCTTAGGATTGCTTTAGCTATTCGGGCTGTTTTTTGGTTCTATATGAATTTTAGAATAGTTTTTTCTAGTTCTGTGAAAAATGACATTGGTAGTTATAGCATTAAATCTTTAAACTGCTTTGGGCAGCATGGTCATTTTAACAATATTGATTCTTCCAATCCATCAGCATGGAATTTTTTTTTATTTATTTGTGTCATCTGTGATTTCTTCCAGCAGTGGTTGGCAGTTCCCCTTGTAGAGATCTTTTTTCTTTTTCACATTATGGAACCTTTACTTTTCATGTGATTTCTGTACATAAGGAGTATGAGAGTAACCCTTTCACAAATGAAACTAATCTACTAGAATAAACAATGACAAAACTGAACTGGTATTTGATGTAAATCCACAGGCGTTTAAGCTTCAAATTCAGCATCTGATTCTTCTGAGATCTTTCCATCAGCCCTGGTAGTGCCCAACAGGGCTTGGTGTCAGCTGACATGAGACAAGAAAGCATTCTCAAACTTTGTAATCTTGCTGGGCTCCCGTTTATCAAGATAGCCCCTAATACCCACATGGATAACAGCCACTTGTTCTTCAATAGCCATGGGAGTATACTGTCTTTGCTTCAGCAACTCAGTTAGACACACACCACAACTCAAAAGTTGTTGAGTGGCAGCATCGAGGTCAGAACTGAACTGGGCAAAAGTGGTGACCTCATGATACTGAGCCACTTCCAGCTTCATGGTACCTGCCACCTGCTTCATAGCCCTGGTTTGGGCAGCAGATCTGACACGAGACACAGACAGACCGACATTAATGGCAGGGTGGATACCTTTGTAGAACAATTCTGTTTCCAAGAAGATCTGTCCGTTCGTGATAGAAATGACATTCATTGGAATGTAAGCAGACACATCACCAGTCTGTTTCTATGACTGGCAAAGCAGTCAAGGAGCCACCACCAAAAGCATTGTTCATCTGGGCTGCTCTCTCCAGCAACTGGGAGCATAGGTAGAACACAACACCAGGATAGGCCTCACAACCAGGGGGTTGGCAGAGCAACAGAAACATCTGATGGTAAGCAACAGCCTGTTTGGATAAGTTGTCATAGATGGTCAAAGCATGTTTGCCATTGTCTCTAAAATACTCTCCCATGGAACAGCCAGTGTAAGGAGCCAGTTACTGAAGTGGGGCAGCATCTGAGGCCGTAGCTGACACCACGATGGTGTAATTCATGGCATCTGCATCGTAAGTCTCTTCACCAACTGGGCAACAGTGGATCTCTTTTGACCAATAACAACATAGACACAGTACAGCTTCTTCTTTTCATCAGATCCATCATTGAAACATTTCTGGTTAATGATTGTGTCAATAGCAATTGAGATTTTTCCAGTCTGTCCATTACCAATAATCAGCTCACACTGACCATGGCCAATTGGCACCAAGCTATTTACAGCCTTAATGCCAGTCTGCATTGGTTCCTGCACTGAAATTTGAGGAATGATTCCAGGGGCTTTCAGACCAACTCACCTATGGTTCTTGGAACCAAATGGACCCTTTCCATCAATGGCATTACGAAGGGCATCAACCACATGACCCAACAGCTCCTCACCAACTGGAATGTCCACAATGGCTCTTGTCCTCTTCATTCTAGCTCCTTCCTTAATTAGTTAAACATTTCCAAACACGACAACACCAACATTGTCAGGTTTGTAGAGATCTTTAACCTTCTTGGTTAGCTGTATTCCTAGGTATTTCATTTTTGTGTGTGGCTATTGTAAATGGGATTGTGTTCTTGATTTGGCTCTCAGCTTGAACATTATTGGTGTATATGTAACCAGCTCAAGTCCAGCTGCTCTCCTCTCAGAAGTCAAAGCATGAGAACTGAGGTGTGGTGAAAGGAAAGCAACTTTTATTGGTCAAATGCTAGCAGATGGGAGAATGTCTGGGCATAAGCCTCAAAAGAGCCATCTCAGCCTTCTGGGCCGAGTGAAGGGGTTTAAGAAGGAAAAAGGTGTGGGATATAGACATGAGTAGTGAAAAGGGAGTGCATATCTGCATGTCTTGTTCCCATAGTTATCTCAAGTAATCTCCCATCTAGAGATCTGATTTGCATCATCCGGACTTGGGCGTAACTCCCCTTGAGTGGGAAGATCTGCGGCTTGGTCTCTCTGCCTGGTTTGTTTCAAAATTGGCTCCTGGAATTTCTAAGCAAGCACATAGTTAGATGAGCAAGCACTGTACACAGATATGCCTGTAGGGAAAGGGCATAACAAAGAGTCTTACACTATAAGGCTACATTCTGAGATTAGGAAGGAAAGGAAAAAAATAGTTTAAAAATGTATTTCGAGGCTGAGGTACTCAGATATATATAGAAATGCTATTGATTTTTGTACATTATTTTTGTACCCTGAAACATTACTGAAGTCATTTAGCAGTTTGACGGGCCTTTTGGCAGAGTCTTTAGGGTTTTCTAGATATAGAATCATATTATCAGTGGCCAAGCATGGTGGCTTACACCTGTAATCTCAGCACTTTGGGAGGCTGAGGCAGGCAGATCACTTGAGGTCAGGAGTTCAAGACCAGCCTGGCCAACAGGGTGAAACCCCATCTCTACTAAAAAATACAAAAATTAGCCGGGCGTGGTGGTGAATACCTGTAATCCTAGCTACTCTGGAGGCTGAGGCAGGTGAATCACTTGAACCCAGGAGGCAGAGGCTGCAGTGAGCTGAGATGGTGCTACTGCACTCCAGCCTGGGCAACAGAGGGAGACTCAGTTTCAAAAAAAGAGAGAATCACACTGTCAGTGAAGAGAGATAATTTGACCTCTTCTTTTTCCCATGCGGATGTCTTTGTTTGTTTGTTTGTTTGTTGTTTTTGTTTTTGTATTTTTAGTAGAGACAGGGTTTCACTGTGTTAGCCAGGATGGTCTCGATCTCCTGACCTCGTGATCTGCCCGCCTCGGCCTCCCAAAGTGCTGGGATTACAGGTGTGAGCCACCACACCCAGCCGCGGATGTCTTTTATTTCTTCCTCTTGCCTAATTGCTCTGGCTAGGACTGTTAGTACTACATTGAATAGCAGCAGTGAGAGTAGGCATCATTGTCTTGTTTTTGTTCTTAGGGGGAATGCTTCTGGCTTTTGCACAGTCAGTATGCTGTTGGCTGTGGGTTTGGTGTAGATGGCTCTTACTATTTTGAGGTATGTACCTTAGATGCCTAGTTTGTTGAGGGCTTTTATCATGAAGGGATGTTGGATTTTATTGAAAGCTTTTTTTGCATCTACTGAGATGATCATATGGGTTTTGCTTTTAATTCTGTTACTGTGGTGGATCACATTTATTGATTTGCATATGTTCAACCAGCCTTGAATCCCAGGAGTAAAGCCTGCCTTATTGTAGTAAATTAACTTTTTGATGTGCTGCTGGATTCAGTTTGCTAGTATTTTGTTGAGAATTTTCGCACCTATGTTCGTTAGGTATATTGGCCTGAAGTTTTCTTTTTTTGTTGTGTCTCTGCCAGATTTTGGTATCAGACTGATTCTGGCTTCATAGGATAAGTTAGAGAGGTACCCTTCCTTTTCGATTTTTTTGAATAGTTTCAATATGATTGGTACCAGTTCTTCTTTTTATGTCTGAGAGAATTTGTCTGTGAATCCATCTGGTCCAGGGCTTTTCTTTTTCTTTTTCTTTTTTTTCTTTTGGGGTTGGCAGTTTCTTTAATACTGATATAATTTTGGAACTTATTGGTCTGTTCAAGTTTTCATTTTCTTTCTGGTTCAATATTGGGAATTTGTGTGTTTCCAGGAATTTATCCATTTTCTCTAGGTTTTCTTAATTTGTGTACATAGAGCTGTTCATAATAGTCTCTGAGGATCTTTTGTATTTTTGTGGGATCAGTTGCAATGTCTTCTTTGTCATTTCTGATTGTACTTATTTAGATCTTCTCTTTTTTTCTTTGTTAATATAGCTAGTGGTTTATTGATCTTGTTTATTCTTTTGAAGAAAAAACACTTTGTTTCATTGATCTTTTCTATGGATTTTTGTGTCTAAATTTCATTCAGTTCTTCTCTAATTTTAGATATTTATTATCTTCTGCTTGCTTTGGGGTTGGCTTGTTTTTTTCTAGTTCCTCTAGTTGCAAAGGTACATTGTTAATTTGAGACCTTTCTAATTTCTTGCTGAAGGTTCTTAGTGCTATAAACTTTCCTCTTAATACTGTTCTAGCTGTGTTCCAGAGATTTTGGTAAGCTGTGTCCCTATTTTCATTTATTTCAAAGAATTTTTTTATTTCTTCCTTAATTTTATTGTTCACCAAGGAGTTATTCTGGAGCAAGCTGTTCAATTTCCATGTATTTGTGTAGTTTTGGGGAGCTAGGACTGGCTTTCAGCTTCATCCTCCAGACCCTTGAGATTGGGCCCCAGCTGTTCTGGGGGATCCAAAGTGCTCCCAGGCCACCAGGAAGGTACTCAGGTGAAGCAAAGCACCCAGGCTTGGCAGCAGAGGCTACTCTGTGCACACCTCCTGCAGGGTGGCCAGGCAGGGGCCCTGGAAGTTTCCCAGTCCCACAGGGAAGCCAGCCACACTCTCTCTTGGGCCAGCAATCAGCTGAGGCTAGAGCTGCCTGTAGGGAGGTGGGGAGCCCTGGGGGATGGGTGTCTAGGCCATGCTCTGCCACAGCTCCACATGCACAAAAGCTCCTAGGCTCCATGCCGGTGAAGCCCTGTCTGCCAACTCTCTTTGAAGATCCCCCTGCCAGCTCAAATGTCCATGGAGAATGTGAAGTTCTATGTACCTAGGATCCCAGAGGTCCACAGTGAGAGTGGCCTGTCCCTCCATCCCTTCACTTATCCCTTCCCCAGGAGGCATTCAGGTCTGGGAACTAGCCCTGTCATGCAAGTATCCTGTGCAGGGTTTCCAGCTTCCTCCCTCTTCAGCCTTGTTGTCTGCATCACCTCTGTAATGACTCTCAGCATTTTCTCTCTGAAGATGGGCTCAAAATACATTGGTGTACTCAATATTTTGGTGTCTCTCAGTGGGAGCAGTGCTTCCTGGCTGTGTCTAGTTGGCCATCTTGTTATGGTAACAATTTCTTTTGGAGATTTTTTGGAGTCCACTTGTGGCAGTCAAAAGATAACTAGACAGTGGTGGCAGATGACAACTGGGTCCACAGATTGCACAACGAAGAGTAGCCTGTGGCAGAGAGCTTATTTGAAGAAATGGCTGAAAACTTCCCAAATCTGAAAAACGAAATGGACAACCAAATTTCAGCAGCTTGAAGGACTCTGTCTAAGATGAACCTAAAGATCCAACACAATGACACATTATAATCAGTCAAAAGTCCAAGACAGACAATCTTGAAAGCAGCAAGAGAAAGGTGACTTATATACAAGAGAACTCTCATAAGATTATCAGCAAACTCATCAGCAGGAACATTCCAGACTGAAAGGGAATGGGGTAGTATATTCAAAGGGCTGAAAGAGAAAGAAAACTGCCAACTAAGAATAGACAGCAAATCTGCCCTTCAAAACTGAAGGAGAAATAAAGATCTTCCCAGATAAGCAAAAGCTGAAGAAGTTCATCACCATTAACCTACCTTGCTAGAATTACTAACGGTAGTCCTTTCAGTTGAAATAAAAGAAAGCTAGATACCAACTTGAAAGCATACAAAAGTATAAGGCTCTCTGGTAAAGGTAAACATATAGTCAAATGCAGAATCTAGGCCATGCGCAGTGGCTCAAGCATGTAATCTCAGAACTTTGGGAGGCTGAGGTGGGTGGATCACGAGGTCAGGAGATCGGGACCATCCTGGCCAACACGGTGAAACCCTGTCTCTACTAAAAATATAAAAAATAAAATAAAATAAAAGTAGCAGGGCATGGTGGCGGGTGCCTGTAGTCCCAGCTACTCAGGAGGCTGAGGCAGGAGAATGGCATGAACCTAGGAGGCAAAACTGGCAGCGAGCTGAAATTGCACCACTGCACTCCAGCCTGGGTGACAGAGTGAGACTCTGTCTAAAAAAAAAAAAAAATGCAGAATCTTGTCATACTACAATAGTGGTCCATAAATCATTTTTAAATCAGGTATAAATAAAAGCATAAAAATAACCATAATTATTAAATTATATTAATGGATACAAAATACTAAAAGTATAATTTGTGACATTGATAATGTAAGGTGAATTGGAGGTAAAAGAGTAGAGGTTTTGTATGCAATTGAATTAAATTTTTAGTTTAAATAAATTGTTATAGCTATAAGATGTTTTATATAATCCCCATGGTAACTTACAGAGAAAATTGCTATAGAAGACATACCAAAGAAAATAAGGAAGTCCTCAAAGCATAACACTACAAAAAAAATCAATGAAACACAAAGGCAGCAAGAGAGGAAAAGAGGGACAAACAACTCTAAGACATACTGAAAACAATTAACAAAATTGCAATAGTAAGTCCTTCCCCATCAATAATTACTTTAAGTGTGAATGGATTAAACTCCGCAGTCAAAAGACCGAGTGGCGGAATCAATTTTAAAAAGATCCAATTGCATGCTATCTACAAGAGATTCACTTAGCTTTGAAAACATACACAGGCTGAAAATGAAGGAATAGAAAAATATATTCCATGCAAGAGGTAACCAAAATAGCAAGGGTGCCCATACATATATCAGACAAAATAGACATTAAGCTAAAAACTGTCACAAGAGAAAAACAAGACACATCATATTGATGAAAGTGTCAATTCACAGTACAACACTTATAAGTCTATATGCACCAAACAGCAGAGCACCCAAATACATGAAGCAAACATTGATAGAACTGGAGGAAGAATTAGATTAAAAAAATAATAGGAGGAGATTACAATACTCTTTTTCAATAATAAATAGATCAACCAGAAAGAAAAATAATAAGGAAATAAAGGACTTGAACAGTACTAAAAGTGAATTGACTCTAATAGATATATAAACAATATTCCACCCTATGTTAATATACACATTCTTCTCAGGTGCACATAAAACAGTCTCCAAGACAGAACACATATTAGGACACAAAACAAGTTTTAACAATTCAAAAAAAAACTGAAAGAAAACCAACTATATTTTCTAATAATCATGAAACTAGAAATCTGGACTAGAAAACTCTGAACTAGAAAATTCACAAAGATGTGGAAATTAAGCAATATACTCTTGAACAACTTGATGAGTCAAGAAATCACTATTTAACAGTATTTTAAAGCAGGTGAAAATGAAAACACAACACACCAAAACTGTGGCAGTAAATGTTTGTATTTTTAAAAGAAGATCCCCAATCAATAATTGGAGATAATTTTGTATCTCAAAGAACTAGAAAAAGAATAGCAAACTAAATCCAAAGTTAGTAAAAGGAAGGTCCTAGATTACAGTTAGCAAAAGGAAGGTCGTAGATTACAGAAAACATAAATGAAATAGAGAATAAATTAAAAAAAATAGAAAAATCAATGAAATAAGAGTTTTTTTAAAAAATAAAAAATTTAACAAATTCTTTCAATAAGTAAGAAAATAGAAGTCTAAAGTAGAGTAACACAAATCAGAAATGAGACATTAAAAATGAGGACGCAGAAGTAAAAAGATTACGAGAGACTGCTATGAACAATACTCCAGTACATTGGATAACTTAGAAGAAATAAATTCTTAGAAATATACTACCTACCAAGATTGAATTGTGAATAAATTAAAATCTGAACACATCTATAACTTAGGAGATTGAATTAGTAATCAAAAATCTCCCAATGAAGAAAAGCCCCAGGACTAGACGGTTTCACTGATGAGTTTTACCAAACATTTAAAGAGTAGTTAGCATCACTCTTTCTCAAACTCTTCTGAAAAATTTCAGAAGAAAAAATACTTTCATTTTATGAGGCCAGTATTACCTTAATACCAATGCTAAAGAAGGACACCACAAAAAGACTACACACCAATAATCTTGCTAAATGTTGATGCAAAAATTCTCAACAAAATATCATAAACTTAATTCAGCAGTACACTATGACCAAGTGGTATTTATTCCTGGGATGCAAGGATGGTTCAACATACAAAAATTAGTCAATGCAATACACTATATTAACTGACAGAAAGGTAAAAAAGTCACATGATCATCTCAATTAGTGCAATAATAAGCTTTTAATAAAATTCAGCACCCTTTCATGTAAAATTCAATAATATAGAAATAAAAGAAAATTACATCAACATATAAAAAGCCCTATAGGTAATGCCCATAGCTACCATCATACTCAAGCTTTCCCCCTACAAATAGAAACAAGGCAAGCATGCCCAGTCTTGCCATGTCTATTCAACACAGTACTGAAAGTTCTAGCCAGAGCAATTAGGCAAGAAAAAGGAGTAAAAAGGATTCAATTTTGAACGGAAGAAATAAAATTATCTCTGTTTGCAGATGATATAATCTTACATGTAGAAAACCTGAAGGATTACACACACACACACACACACACACACACACACACAGAGAGACAACTGTTACAACTAATAAACTAATTCAGTAAAGTTGCAGGAAACAAAATCAACCCACAAAAATCAGTTGCATTTCTAGACACTAAGAATAAATAATCAGAAAAGAAAATGTTTTTAAATCCCCTTTACAAGAGCATCAAAAAGAATAAAATACTTAGGAATAAACTCAACCAAAGAGGCAAAAGACCTGTATACTGAATACTCTTAATATTGCTGAAAGTAATTAATGAAGACACGAATAAATATAAAGACATCCCATGTTCCTGGATTGGAAAAGAATATGGTTACAGTGTTCATACTACCCCCCAAATCTACAGATTCAATGCAGTCCGTATAAAAATCTCATTGGAATTTTTTGCAGAAACAGAAAAAAAATCCAAAATCCATTAGGAGTCTCAAAGTATTCCAAATAGTCAAGACAGTTATGAGAAAGAAAAACAAAGCTGGAGGTCTCACGCTTCTCAAGTTCAAAAAACAGTGTAAAGCTACAGTAATCAAAATAGCATAATACTGGAATAAAGACACACATAGAGACCAATGGGCCAGAATAGAGAGCCCAGAAATAAACTCTCACATATGTGGTAAAATAATCTGCCATAAGGGCATCAAGACTATACAATGGGGAAAAGATAGTGTCTTCAACAAATGGTGCTGAGAAAACTTGATATTCACATGTAAAATAATGAAGTTAGACCCTTACTTTCCTGTACCTATATACAAAAATCACTTCAGAATGAATTAACGGCTAGGTGCAGTGGCTCACGCCTGTAATCCCACCACTTTGGGAGGCTGAGGTGGGAGGATCGCTCAAGTCCTGGGCAACACTGCGAACCCGTCTCTACAAAAAATGTAAAAATTCCCCCGGGTGTGGTGGCGCGCACCCTGTAGTGCCACCTACTGGGAGAGGTGGGGGTAAGGCAGGAGGATTGCTTGAGCCCAGAAGGTTGAGGCTGCAGTCAGCTGTGATGATGCCACTGCACTCCAGCCTGGTTGTCAGAGAGAGACCCTGTCTCAAAACAACAAACAAACCAAAATGGATTAATGACCTAAATGTAAGACCTAAAATTATAAAACTGTAATTTATAAAATTATATTTATAAAACTAAAATTTATAAAATTATAACATTATCTAGTAAGATAAAAATATAGGGGAGAAGCTTCATGTTTTTGGATTTGGCAATGATTTCTTGGACATGACACCAAAGGCAGAGGAAATAAAAGCAAAAATATACAAATGCAACTAAATCAAACTTCAGATCTTCTGCATAGAAAGGAAATAATGAAGAGAGTGAAAAGGCAACCTACAGAATGGAAGAAAATATTTGCAAACCATGCATCTGATGAGGGTTAATATCCAAACATATAGAGAATTCCTACAACTCAACAACATCAAAACTAGACAAACAAACAAACAAAAAACCCTATTAACAAAGTATTTGAATAGACATTTCTTTAAGGATGACATCAATATGGCCAACATTTAAAAATATGTTCAATATCACTAATCAGAGAAATGCAAATCAAAACCACAATGAGATGTCACCTCACATCTCTTAGCTAGACCACTATCCAAAAAAACAAAACAGAAACAGAAAATAAGAAATACTGGCAAGGATATAGAGAACTTGAAACCCTTGTGCACTGTTGGTGTCAACGTAAAATGGTGTAGCCACTATGGAAAACAGAGGTTCTTCAAAAAATTTAAAACAGGACTACCATATAGTCCAGCAATCCCACTTCTGGGTATATATCAAAAAAATTTAAAGTAGGATTTTGAAAAGATATTTGCACATCCATCTTTATTGCAGTATTACTCACAATAGCCAAGAGTTGGAAGAACACTAATATCTCCTGACAAATTAATGTATAAACCATATATTCACTGGAATATTATTCAGCCTAAAGAAAGAAGAAAATCTTACCATATGCTACAACACGGATAAGGCTTGAGCACATTATGCTACATGAAATATGCCAGTCATGAAAGGAATAATGCTGCATGATTCCCTGTGTATACATTTTCGAAAGTAATCAAATTCATAGAAACAGAAAGTAGAATGTGACAACCAGAGCTAGGGAAGAGGGGGAAATTGGGAGTTTTTCCACGGGTACAGAGTTTCCCTTTGGCAAGATGAAAAAGTTACAGAGGCCTATTGCACAACAACTTGCATACAGTTAACAGTACTGTAATGTACACTTGAAAATGGTTAAAATGTTAAATTTTGTTATTTTTTCTTTACTCACAAAAAAGGAATGAGGAGCTGATACATGCCACAACATGGAGAACCCTGAAAACATTATGTTAACTGAAAGAAGTCAGTAACAAAAGACCACATATTATTGACTCCATTCATAAGAAATGTCCACAATAGGACAATCTACTGGGAGAAAGAAGCCTAGGTGCTGCTTAGGAAGACAAGGAGTAATAGCTGAAGCATGTGGCTTTTTTTTCTTTCTTTTTTTTTCTTAAGATGGAGTCTTGCCCTGTCACCCAGGCTGGAATGCAGGGTTCAAGCAATTCTCCTACCTCAGCCTCCCAAGTAGTTGGGACTACAGGCGCGTGCCACAGTGCCTGGATAATTTTTGTATTTTTAGTAGAGACGGGGTTTCACCATATTGGCCAGGCTGATCTCAAACTCCTGACCTCGTGATCTGCCCGCCTCGGCCTCCCAAAGTGCTGGGATTACAGGCGTGAGCCACTGCGCCCGGCCATGGCTTTTATTTCTGAGGTGATAAAAGTGTTCAAAAGTTGACTGTGGGGATGGTTGCACATATCTCTAAAACACTAAAAAATATTGAATTGTAAATTTTATATGGGTGAATTGTACGGTGCATGAGTCGTACCTCAATGAAGCTAGGTAGAAAGTAAACTCTATTGTCTTCTCTTTCCCCTGGCGAAACACCTCAGCTTAGGGCAAGTCTGAACAGAAACCTTGCCTCTCAGTGAAGGAAATAGGAGTCATCTCAACTTCACTTGTAGTCCATCTAATCATCTATGCCACCACAGCTCTCTGATATCTTTAAAACGATTACATTTCCAATTTCTTTACTTTTTGAACTACTTGTTCCAGTGGGAGTGATGCAGTGCCACTGCCTCCTATATTCTACCTAGAATCAGAACTTCAGCTCCAATCCCTTTGGCCTGATTTCTGCTCCTCAAGTACCCCAAAGTCTTTCCCACTTCACTGTACTTACCATTTCCTCCTCTTGAAATGGTTTTCTTTCAAATAGCCGCTAGGCATTTTCTCATTACATTCATTTCTTCAGGGTTAATGCCACCAAAAAGCCTTCCTTCCCAGACTACCCTAACTAGCTGGCGCACTTTTACCTTCTATCACTCTGTAACTCCCTTCCCTGCTTTATTTTCTTCGTGGCACTTGTCACTCTCTGACACCCTATATAGTATATATGTTTAATGACTATTTCCCTTACTAGAATGTAAGTGCCAGGGGCTACTTTGTCTTTCTTGCTCTTCACTGAATTCCCAACACAAACATTGGAACTAGTGTATAGTGCATTCCCAGTGAATACTGAGTGAAAGAATACACTCCACTTTCAATGGGTCCTCCGGGTTACAACTTCCTGTATTTTTTTTTTTTTTTTTTTGAGACACAGTCTCGCTCTGTCGCCCAGGCTGGAGTGCAGTGGCGCGATCTCGGCTCACTGCAAGCTCCGCCTCCTGGGTTCATGCCATTCTCCTGCCTCAGCCTCCCGAGTAGCTGAGACTATAGGCGCCCGCCACCGCGCCCGGCTAATTTTTTTTGTATTTTTAGTAGAGACGTGGTTTCATCGTGGTCTCCATCTCCTGACCTCGTGATCCACCCACCTCGGCCTCCCAAAGGGCTGGGATTACAGGCCTGAGCCACCGCGCCCAGACTACAATTTCCTGTATTATTCAGTCTGTGCATTTTTCTGTATTGCTGGGCACTGGGTTGTCAGGCAGCTGTGATAGGTGTCAGGACTAAAACAACGAACATGCACAGCCTCTGTCCATAGGAACTTACTTATTGGGGATTCACACAAATAAAATATGCACTTGGATTTGAGGGAGTAAATGATGTCATTCGTGGAACACACAAACTGTAAGGAGAGAAGAATGAACATAGAGGATCACCGCATGTCATGACAGGCAGAGTAACTGAACATAGAGGTGAGTGGGAGAAGACCAGGAACCTCTGGTGGCCCAGAGGCAGGGTACACGGTTTATAAAAAGAAATGCCTGGCCAGGCACAGTGGCTCACGCCTGTAATCCCAGCACGTTGGGAGGCTGAGGCGGGTAGATCATCTGAAGTCAGGGGTTCGAGACCAGCCTGGCCAACATGGTGAAACCCTGTCTCTGCTAATAATGCAAAAATTAGCCAGGCATTGTGGCAGGCACGTGTAATCCCAGCTACTTGGGAGGGTGAGGCAGGAGAATCACTTGAACCCAGGAGGTGGAGGTTGCAGTGAGCAGAGATTGTGCCATGGCACTCCAGCCTTGGGCAGCAAGAGCGAAATTCTGTCTCCACCCCCCCCCCCACACACACACACAATGCCTGCAGAGTTCAAAGACTGAAGAAAGTAAGTGCCCTGTGCATTTTCTAATAAAGAGGCTTTGTTGACCCTGGAAGGGACTGCTGCAGTAGAATAGTGGAGAAGATGCCAAACTGCAGGAGGCTGGAGAGAGAATGAAATGAATGAGGAGGGGAGCATGGACAACTATACCGCGGGTCTGAAGAATGTAGAAGATATAGGGAAATACTTAGAAGCAAACATGATGGTTGAGAGTGGTCATATTGATTGGTTAAAGATAGGACAGAAATAAATAAGTGTAAGTGTTGCTGGGGAAGTGAGCCGGTAGGATGGAGAATTTTCAGGTAGAGGAGAGAAGGATAAGCTAACTGAGGTAATGGCTGAGCTAACAGAGTACAGGTAGAATGGTTGGGCATGGAGGGAGATATATCTTCCCCTAGGCAAGGTGGGCACAGAGATAGGTGAATGCTTTTAGGAACGAAGGCAGAAGTGAGAGGGAACAAACTCAAATGTTATACTTTTTTCTACCATAATACCCAGCACCCTTTGCCTGGCACATAACAGATGTCTAGTAAGTAAGTGCAGAATAAATGAATTACACTTTCATATGGTGATGTAATAAAGAAAACTAAAGCACAATAGAAGTTTGAAATATGCTCTGTGGGAAGTGAAAGAGAAAGTTGCCCAGGAAAATATAGAAATACCAGGTGGTATTCCAATTGAGTTTGGCAACTATGCCTTTCAAATGAACTTTTAATGCAGTTATATGAGTTTCTCCATCTGTAGGAGAGTTGTTTGTGTAGGAGGAGAACAGAAGACGGTCTGGTGGATGATGATGTGGAATTTTTTTCCACAGGAGGTACGGTAGGAAGACAAAGTAGTAGAGTAATGGGAATACTGATAAAGACTGTCACACTAACCCAATTCATTCTTTACAATACAATGAAGAAAGGCAGAGTGGAGGTGACGAGTGATGGCTGGAGGAATGCAGTTTGGAATAAGTGTGTATGTATGTGATATTATAATAGAATATTTCGAAGCTCCAGCATGTCTAGGATTTGGCTGTGGAAGTGGATGGCTGACAATCCTGAGACTGACAAGATCATGCAACTTAGAGTTTGGAGTATGGGAAGGGGTGTCCTCATTGTCCTTTTCAAA
Organism: Homo sapiens; assembly: GCF_000001405.40. Taxonomy (NCBI): domain Eukaryota; kingdom Metazoa; phylum Chordata; class Mammalia; order Primates; family Hominidae; genus Homo; species Homo sapiens. Next base: position 66,708,975 of record NC_000009.12, on the reverse strand, counting down.
TCTCTTCTCGAGATACATGGTCATTTCACCATGAATTGTGAGTGTATCACACATAATTTATTACGAATAATCACTGTGAATTTTTTAATAATATAATTTAGCAACTACTATGTGCCAGATACAAAAATGATGGTGAAACTTAGAGAAAAAGCTTCAAAGTCTTCAGTAAAAGCAAAAGAGTGTGAGAAAGAAGTACAGGGTCACATGGCTGGATGTTGTCAGCCTCAAGGGAAAGGGTTTGTTTCAGAGGAGGAATGGTCTGGAACTGCACTGAGGATGGAGAACACTGGCCTCTCCTCCCAACCCCAAGAAGCCTCCAACTCTGAGAAGCATCCCTTTGAATTGCTGGAGGTGGGAGGTGGGCAGTGTCTTTATAGAAGGCTCACTTAAGTCAAGGTGTGTAAGGTAGAGGATGTGGAGGGAGTTGATGAGAATGGAATGGTGTTCCAGAGAGAGTATGGTGGAGACATTTGGAGGCAGAATGGACTAAGAGAAAGAACGAAGAGAGCAGATTACCTTTTGAGTGGAGTGTAAGGATGGGAGAGATGGAGGCATAATCTACAGGTTTAGGGGTAGGAAAGACGGTTCAAACCACCTGAAGAGGAGGGAGTCTGGGTTTAGAGGAAATAGCATATTTGTCACAATCCAGGACCTTCACCACACAGTCTTTCTAGAAAGAAGAATGAAGCCTCTTCTATCCAAGGGAGCATTTTAATTCAGGCTCCATTCTGCATCCTCTGCATGAATGCTGCAAAGTTTCCATATTTGTCTGTGCCTGTGTTTCCCCATTTCTTCAAAAAGAGAAAAAAGGGGAAACGCTTCCAAACTTTTATGTGGTTGCTAGAATTGTATGATCATTTTATATAAATATATATGAATATGCATAGTTTCTGAGAGAGAGAGACAGACAGAAAGACAGAGAGCACTAACACAGTGCCTGGTATATAACAAGGACTCATTAATTAATGATGGTTGTTACTATTATCAGATTTCTATCTTTACTGAATTCTTGTTGATGTTACATTAATATTAGTGTATTCTTACCATGTCATAGTGAAGCACATTTGAACATGTCTGGCACGGTCACTGGTAAGTTGCTTTCTATGAACACATCTTTCCTGCCTCAAGGGTTGATGTGTGTGAGGCAATAATAAAGCAATAATATAAATTCTGTATACCAGAAGGAGGACTCCGCATACTCCTTTCACTGCCCCATTTACCATGGTAGAATATAAGACATGCATCTTTTATAGTCTTATATTTATTTTTAGAGCCTGACCTGTTGCCTTATTTTTGCTCAAAAACATTGATAATTGAATTTTTTTTGTGTGTGTAAGCAAAAAATCAATTAAATATGATACTCTGGATATAATTCTTATATGGTAACTTTTTCAATTGAACATTTTCCCTAATACTAGTCCAGGCAGAATAAAAAACAATGTTCTTCGTTCTGGAAATGTGACAGTTTACTCATCCACACGAACATTTGGAAAATTTGCCCACATTTCTAGATCTTCAAAGTCTGAAGCTCTTTTTCCGTTTATCTCACCCTAAACAAAATTTAAGTACAATGAGGAGGAGCTCTCAGTAATCTTTTTGTCCTTAGTGGCTTTCTGCTTTTCTTTATCATGGGCTGCACTACTAAAAATAAATTGGTACATTGTTGGCCAGCTCCAAAAGAATTGATGATTTAACAGTCAAATAATATGTTTCATAAAATAGTAATTACAGATCAAATAATTTGTTTTCACTCACTACAGAAAATGTAAAATGTTGCCAAACTGGCAACTGCTTAAACAAAAACAATATCAGTTCCAGAAATTCCACACGTATATATTATAATATGCAATATCTATAATCTTAACAGCTTTGTAACTAATGAACTCTAAATGGCTACATACTGTTATAATTTTGTATTTAGATTTTTCTTTTCTTTCTTTCTTTTTTGGAAACCGAGTCTTGCTCTGTCTCCCAGGCTGGAGTGCAGTGGTGCGATCTTGGCTCACTGCACGCTCCGCCTCCCGGGTTCACGCCATTCTCCTGCCTCAGGCTCCCGAGTAGCTGGGACTACAGGCGCCTGCCACCACACCCGGCTAATTTTTTATATTTTTAGTAGAGACGGGGTTTCACCGTGTTAGCCAGGATGGTCTCGATCTCCTGACCTCGTGATCCGCCCGCCTCGGCCTCCCAAAGTGCTGGGATTATAGGCGTGAGCCACCGCACCCCGCCTGTATTTGGATTTTTCTATCCTAACTTTTCTTTAATAATTTGATCCACTGTTCAACAGCAATCAGCAAACATCTATTTACTCAGTAACATTCATCAAGCCTTTCCAACTCATATAACATTATTGCTTCCTACCCTAAAGAAATCTATCTGAAAACATCACTCATAGCTGAACAAATCAGTGCTGGAGCAAAAACTAGAATTCTGATTTTTGGCTCCAGTATATTTCCATGACCTAAACTTGTCTCTTAAACACTGACTACTTGATTACAAGTCCAGATTCGGCAGAACACTGATCATGTTTTTCTGCTGTTGTTAGGACATTTGTTCAAATGACTGGTCTAAATAGTCCATATTAAGGCCTCTCCACAGTAATAGCCTTCCTAGATATAAAGGATCACGGGGGAGAAAATGAAGACAGATTTTTTAAAATTTTGTTTAAGCCCAATTTTTCTTCTTCTATATTGCTTTCAGCACTTGAGGCACATGAAGACTTTGTACGACCTTTTCTCTGAATGGAAAATGAATTCTCCTGCACTCAGCATATCAAATCCTGAGAGACTTTCCTGGACCGACTTTGGCCACCTCAATTTCTGAAATGTTATACTGATTACTTCTTTAAGATATTGTTTGGCCCAAGGTCATGTAACATATGAGTTCATTCTGTGCATGAAGCTCCCCAGAGAACAACGGTACACAATGTCAGTTTGGTTATGGCATCTGAAAACTCATAAGAGCAGACTTTCATTAAAAGCAGTATTACCCCCAGCCCTTGCCTTCTGAGAATTCACATATGAATAATTAGGAGTCTGTAAGTAGGGGCCTACCTGTGGTACATATTTCTCCTGTTTTTGAAGTAAAAGGATATTTCTATAAAGTTTCTCAAACATTTTCTACTTTTTCATCATTGTCAAGTCATTTATTTTTTGAAGTTGAGCTTTACATTTACTTGCATATTTGGAGTTTATAGCCCTGTTGTTTTGTTTTAAATTACAAGATGATAAAAATAAATCTTTAAGTCCTTTCCTAAATTCATCAGTTAATTGTAATCCAATCATATATAAAGAAAAGTATTATTTATTGCCTCTATATTCATCATTAAAAGAAATACATATAAAATTAAAAGGAGCATGCCAGTTAAAAACCAAGAAAGAATACTGGGCTTCTGAGCTTAACAGGGAAATCTATTATCAGACTATTTTAATCATTTTCTAATTGTGCGTATGAAAGACTGACAGAAATATACGTTGTCTTTACTGAGTGCTGGGAGTATGAGTTGTATGATCATAAAATTATAGTCTTAAATATTTGAGACAGACAACTTTCACAGCTAGTTTGCATTTAAAAAGTAATTGTGATTGTATTAGTCAATTTTGCGTTGCTATAAAGGAATACCTGAGGCTGAGTGATTTTTTTTTTTTTTTTTTTTTTTGGGAGGGAGTCTCACTCTGTCGCCCAGGCTGGGGTGCAGTGGCGCGATCTCGGCTCACTGCAAGCTCCGCCTCCCGGGTTCACGCCATTCTCCTGCCTCAGCCTCCTGAGTAGCTGGGAGTACAGGCACCCGCCACCACGCTAGGCTAATTTTTTTTTTGTATTTTTAGTAGAGACGGGGTTTCACCGTGTTAGCCAGGATGGTCTCGATCTCCTGACCTGGTGATCCACCCGTCTTGGCCTCCCGAAGTGCTGGGATTACAGGCGTGAGCCATCGCGGCCGGCCAAGGCTGAGTGGTTTAGAGGGAAAAGAGATTTATTTTGGCTCACAGTTCTGCAGACTGTACAAAAAGCATGGCATCAGCATCTGCTTCTGGTGAGGCCTCAGGAAGCTTACAATCATGGCAGATGGTGAAGGGGGAGTTGGCCTCTCAGGTGGCGAGAGAGGGAACGAAGTGCCAGACTCTTTTTACCAATCAGACCTCCTGTGAACTAATACAACCAGAGCCCACTCATTACCACAGGGAGGACACCAAGCTTTTCTTTTTTTTTTTTTTTTTGAGACAGAGTCTCGCTCTGTCGCCCAGGCTGGAGTGCAGTGGCGCAATCTCGGCTCACTGCAAGCTCCGCCTCCCGGGTCCGAGCCATTCTCCTGCCTCAGTCTCCGGAGTAGCTGGGACTACAGGCACCCGCCACCGCGCCCGGCTAATTTTTTTGTATCTTTTAGTAGAGACAGGGTTTCACCGTGTTAGCCAGGACGGTCTCGATCCTCTGACCTCGTGATCCGCCCGCCTCGGCCTCCCAAAGTGCTGGGATTACAGGCGTGAGCCACCGCGCCCGGCCGACACCAAGCTTTTCATGAGGAACCCACCCCTATGATGCAAATACCTCCCACCAGGCCCCACTTCCAACATTGCGGATCACATTTCAACATGAGATTTGGAGGGCACAAATATCCAAACTATACCAATGATCAAGACAGAACTCATATTCTTTGATACATTCTTGATTTGTCCATTTATTTTATTAGAAGAATTTTTGAATATGAGAGTACCTTACATAAAGTATGCACTAAATAAACTGAATAAAATTGACAATATGCAATGTCAAAGACAAAACATAATGGCAGTATTATACTATATAGAAATCTACTTAGAGAGTTAAATAATGTAGTATTGTAAATATGTATCTTTTAATACACAATGTCATAAAATGCACGAATACCCATATATTAACCAGACTTTTTCTTAAATGGTCTCACTCTGTTGCGTAAGCTGGAGTGCAGCAGTGTCATCATGGCTCACTGCAGCCTTGACTTCCTGGGCTTGAGAGATCCTCCTACCCCAGCCTCCCAAGTAGCTGGGACTACAGGCACACACAACCAGGCCCAGGTAATTTTTTTTTTCATGGAAACAGGGTCTTGCTACATTGCCCAGGCTGGTCTCAAACTCCTGGGCTCAAGCAATCCTCCCTCCTCAGCCTCAGAAATATTTTGGTTGCAAACAGCTGTAACCACATTCAAGCTAAAGGAATTGGTTTTTTCACACATTGAGATTTAGGAACAATGCCACATCTCTCAGCACTGTTTGCATTTGCTTAGCTTCATTCTCAAGCAGGCCTTTTCCCTATGGTGCCAAGATGGCCTCTGCCATCTCCATCGATCACTTGTTCCAAGTAAAAGCAAGAGAGACCTATCTTGCCCCAATATTGGAATATTATAATCTCGTAAAGGGTCTATGATCCTAATACAATTCCATGCCTACCCTTGGACTCACAACTAGAGTAAGGAATATAAGGAGCCATGGTTGATGAGATTAGACCTGGTCAATTGCTCATGCTTGTAGTCAGAGGCAGCAGTTTCACAATTAAAAGAGGTTGTTGGATTAAAAAAAATAACAGAGTGTTACTACATTCTTTCTGTGACTTTAACAAAAAGGTAAATGGCCACTGTAGTGGATATTTTGCCCATGGGTGAGACGGAAGTAGGGCTTTGAGTGGTCATAGCAGGTAGAAAATTTTATGGAAAACAATGCCTAATAAAGAAAGAAAGATGTGGAGAAAGCTAGTGCTTTACAGAACTTCCTGGGGTGAAGGAAATCTTCCATACTTATCCAATATGGTAGCAACATATTGAGCACTTGAAATGTGGCTCATGTAACTAAAAAACTATATTTTTAGTTTTGTTTAATTTAAATATATTTACATTTAAATAGCCACAGTGCAGCCTTCCTCATGGTGACTTTGAAGAGTCAGTCTATACGTATCTTTACAATAAAGTCATTGTTCCTTTTAGTCTTTATTAGTCCTTTGAATGATATTATAATTAAACAAAAACCAAAATCCAGCTTTTGAAAAGCTACTATTCCTCATTCTTTCAGAAATTGAACAGAAAATAGCTATAGATACTATGAATATTCTTTAATATTCATTTTTTATTTCAAAAAATCTGGTAAAATGAAAGAGCATATTATAAGTAATTCAAAAATTTGATTATTCCAATGTGATTGTTTCCATTGTACCATGTTGGACAAGCACTGATACAAAAAATTTTAATATAACATGAAAATGAAATCAAACAATAAATTTGCTATAAAATGTGCTTACACTGAATTATAACATCTTTTGTAGTTTTCTTTTCAAATTAAAAATATACGACTAATTTGAATCTCGTGAAATATTATAATCCTTGTCCTGAAAAAAGCAGGCTGACCTTGGGGAAATTTTAATAGTGATAAGATTGAGATAATTGTAACCAGTTACTCTTTAATAACCATCATTTTCTAGATATGTGCTAACCACATGTACGCACATTTCCTTATCTAATTACATTTGAACTTTACAATAACACTTTATCTTAGGATCATTTCATTACAAGAGATAGTTGTCTGTCATTGAAACTAGCTTAAACAAAACAAAAGAAAGAAATCTAGTGGAAGAAATAGGACAGCTGACAGGCCTTGCCTAGGAAGCCTCCTGAATGCTGGCATGAAGGTTTGAGGTCCAGGAACTAATGTTTCACTTATTGTTCATTTGTGGCCTCCTGATGTGTCATCTCTGCTTTTACTCCACATAGTTTCTTTGTTCCCCTTATTTTCATTAAACATTCTTTCCTGTTTACTTAAACCTCTGCAGAGAGGGCAGCCTGAATGTTGAAATTCCACCTCATCTTGCAGTTCAGTCACCTCACACCAATTTACTTCCTTGCCTAGGAAGCCTCCTGAATGCTGGCATCAAGGTTTGAGGTCCAGGAACTAATGTTTCACTTATTGTTCATTTGTAGCCTCCTGATGTGTCATCTCTGCTTTTACTCCACATGGTTTCTTTGTTCCCCTTATTTTCATTAAACATTCTTTCCTGTTTACTTAAACCTCTACAGAGAGGGCAGCATCTGCAGCATCTACAATTGAAGGAGGTGATGAACCAGGAAAACCTAATGCCTTGGATATTGTAGGTCAGAGGTCCACGCCTGGTCCAGTCCTCTCTGCCTGGGGTACAGGGATAGGAATTTTATGCTCAAAACATGGAACCTAGAGAGTGAGGACCACATTCTTTAAGAAGTACCAATAAAAAATGGGTGAGGAATGAGCTTGGTTCAGCCAGTGAATTAGATAACATGATTCTGATTTTAAATTTGAGGAAACAGTCTCAGAGAAGTTCAAATCTTAGTCTGGCTTGTGATCAGACAGACCAAAGTATGAACCCTGACTTATCTTTCAGTATCTGTGAAACTTTTGGAAAGTTACTCACCCTTTCTGAATGTTCAATTATGTTGTTAGAAAGCGAAAATAAAATGCAACCCACATAAAAACGCTTAGCATTTACCCAACTAGAAGCATATAACCCACCTCCCACTTTTTACACCCTGCCCCACAGTCAAAGGCCAAGGGGAGAGATGGCCTTGTCTATGAATGCACTTAGACGGGCTTCAAAAGTGTGGATTACAAACCAAAGAAGGACAGAGCTGCAGAAAGCTGGGTGCCCTGCATGAGAGATTTATAGAGATTTGATGTTTGTTTTTTTACCCTTGAGAGGAAAAAAGCATCAGAAATGAAAATAAGTATATATAAGAGCAAGCTAGCAGTAACATTGATTAACCTCTGTTATTTTCTTTGCTCTGTGTAATGACATCCCTGCCTTTTCCTACAATAGGCAATGAATTTTCCATGCAAGCAAGGTCTTGTTTATTATTTTCTTTTGTTGTCATGTGAAAATCCAACAAATGACATTGTATTCCTCATGTGGAAGTAAGAAGTTTCTAGATGCTGCAAAGAGAAAAAAGAGTTTAGAGAACTTGTCAATTCAGAGTCAGGGAATCTGAAATTCAAATAAATGCAGGAGGGCTACTGGGATTTTCCACCAGTGTGGTATTAAACCCATTTTATCTAGATCTTAAAATGCAGAGATAATTCAGCTTATTTCATGATTATGCATAGTAATTAATTAAAGGTAGATAAATACTTATATTAATTAAAGGTAGATAACTGACAGAAGGCAAATTGGAAAGAAAATGGTGTTTGGAGCCACAAAGATCTGGGTTCAAGTTCTACCTCAGCTACATAGAACTATGTAACCTTGGGTATTTTGCTTAAATCATCTGAGACTCAAATTTTTCATTTCTCAAATTGAGATATTAGTATTGATCTCACAGGAGTATAGTAAGTCTTCACTTAATGGCATTGACAGGTTCTTAGAAACTGCAACTTTAGGCTGGGCGTGGTGGCTCATGCCTGTAATCCCAGCACTTTGGGAGGCCAAGGCGGGTGGATCACGAGGTCAGGAGATTAAGACCATCTTGTCTAACATGGTGAAACCCAGTCTCTACTAAAAAAAAAAATACACCAAAAAAAATAAATTAGCCGGGCGTGGTGGCGGGCGCCTGTGGTCCCAGCTACTCGGGAGGCGGAGGCAGGAGAATGGCATGAACCCGGGAGGCGGAGCTTGCAGTGAGCCGAGATCGCGCCACTGCACTCCAGCCAGGGCGACAGAGGGAGACTCTGTCTCAAAAAAAAAAAAAAAAAAAAAAGAAACTGCAACTTTAAGTAAAATATTGTACTATATAACAAAACCAATTTTACCATATGCTAATTGATATAAATAAGAGTTAAGTTCCTATGGCATACAGTATGTCTTTTCACTTAAAGTTGCAATTTCAAATAACCTATCAATGACATTAAGTTATGACTTACTATACATGTAATGTGCCTAAGACATTATGTTTTATGTGAACGTTGAGTGATATTTGATGCCCAGAGTATGGGCCCTGGAGTCAGACTCCCTGGGTGAGCTTTGTAACTATGTGGCCTTGAGACACTTACTCCCTGTATTAGAGTCCTCTGGATAAACAGATTGTGTGTGTATGTGTGAGTGCGTGTGTGTGTGTGTGCGTGCACATGTATGTGCGCGTGCGCATATGTGTGCATATGTGTGTGTGTGTGTACACATGCATATATATAAGAAAATTTATGATAAGGAATTGGCTCATGTAATTATGGAGGCTGAGAAGTCCCAAGATGTGCAACTGACAAGCTAGAGACTTGGGAGAGCCAATGGTGTAGTTCCAGTGTGAGTCTGAGGAGCCAATGTTTCAGCTGAGTCTGAAGACAGAAGACACCAATGTCCAAGCTCAAACCACCAGGCAGGAGGAGTTCTTTCTTATTTGCACAAGAATCAACCTTTTTGTTCTACTTAACAGACTTTCTGGTGATTAGATGAGGGCCACTCACATTAAGAAGGACAATCTGCTTTAACTAGTCTACTGATTGCAATGTTAATCTCATCAGAAAACACCCTCATGGAAGTACCCAGAAGAATGTTTGATCAAATGTCTGTGCACCCCATGCCCAGTCAAGTAAATGCATAAAATCAACCATCACACCATGTATGAGCTTCACTTACCTCAGGTAAAAGGGCAAAATGATAAAAATAACCTTCCTAGGGAGTTATGAGAACCCAGTAAATCAACAGTTATGTATTTTACAATAGTACCTGGTATATGATAAGCACTATGTGTGGATATGTTGAACTAAATACATAAGTAAAACTGAGGAAAAGGAGCTGCCTCCCAGAGGTGTTCTCCCATCCCTGTTTGTCTCAGGGAATAACTAATTTAGTTTTTTCATCTCATTTAATGTTTGAGTTTCACATTCAGTCAATAATCTTATAAGCTATTTCTTCCCCTAAACATATTATTCTGTTCAGAAAAACTACTTGATTTCATTATAAGTAGAGTAAACAAACAAGCAAAAAAACAAAAAACCAAAAAACCCTTGTTGATTGGCATTCCAAGTGAGAAAAGCAAAAAAAAAAAGCTGCTTGTTTTTAAAAATTAAAATATCATTGTATTGCCTATTGCCTTTTAGAAATTACATATCTCCAAATAATACAAGTGAAATGGGGAAAAATTAACATAGATTTTTTTCTCTATTATTTGGAATCGGATTTGCAGATGAGTTAACTATATTCTAAATACAGATATCACATAGGACGAAAAGGTTAAAAAAAGGTCTCTGTTCTTTTCTCCTTCCTTAAACATTATGCATCAAAATATTTACATATTTTCAAGATGTGTCTTATCAGATATTCAATCTGTATATATTCATAGTTTTAATGGACTTTCATGGATATCCTTTCCATAAGTGATGATTAAAAATCTCAGCTTAGGTGGTAGTCTGTTTTTACTACACAAGCAGAGCACCGAGTTTATTTAAATCTCCCAGGCACTTGGTCATGGATGTGGCTGAAGGACTATGGCTCAGATGGGTTGTGTAATATCAAGGGACAGAATGGCCAATAAACACTACCTCTTCAACTGGATTGCCCAGGAGGACACGTTGGGACTCATCAAGGAAACAACAAAACCCAGAGAGAAGAGAGAAGAGTGAGACAGGGCAGCTGCCCACCTGGGATTCGCATGGAGCCAAGGAAGGCTTCTCACCACAGGGAAAGTGTGAGTGGGCAAGAGCCCCCAGGAGCCCATACTCTTGCCATGGATCTCTGCAATCCTGGGCACAGGAGATCCCCTGACCCTCTCTCTCCAGGGCCTCCAGACTGACAGAGCGCTGTGCAGAGTCTGGGCAGAGCTGCCACTCAGGCACATATGGAGCCTCAAGGGCCTTGGGCTCCTGAGCATCCCAGGGTCAGCTGCCATAGCTCTGCCAGCAGGTGAGGCCAGGCCCTCTTGCACGCTCCCAAGATACATGCTGCTTTCACAGTGCTGAGGAGCAGACAGACTATAGGCCTTACCTTCGCCACACCTTGCCAGCCAAAGCCCACGGGCCCAGGTCCCCAGCGCAGCCAACACACCCCTGCCTGAACACTTAGGCTAGTAGTGACTCTGCACTTCCCTGGGCCAGAGCTCCCAGAGTTAACTGACAGTTCCGCCTTTTTGCTGCTGCTGCAGCCCCCACCCCTACTGCCCTGAGGCTGCAGAGGGAGTAAGTGATGAGCCTAAGGACTATCATGTGTCTCCAACGCAGTGCAGCTGCCATGCAGGAAAGCAGCCAGACTATTTCCCCTGTGGATTCCTGCCCCTGCTACTCCTCACTGTGCAGGGCCTCCCAACCTGGACCCCAGCACAGTCATCCTGCCCCCGCCTGAGCACTTCAGTCAGTGGTGGCACTGCTTTTATCTGGAGAGGAAATCCCAGAGACGACCCAAAGGCTCTCTACCATCTCAGCTGCGGGGATATTGCCCTTGCTGCCCTCAGGCTGGGGAAAGAACAAAGATCCTGACTGTTTTGCTGGTACCTCCAGCATGCTGCAGCTGTCCTACAGAGAGGAACCCAGTCCCTTTTCCCTGTGAACCCCTGACCCCCTGCTCTACACCAGGCAGGGCCCCTGGATTGGGTCTGCCATGCAGCCACCCCACCCCCAGCTGATCATTCCCATTGGCAGTAGCTTCATGTATCTCTGGGGTGGAGTTCTCAGAGGCAACTGACGATCCCTCTGACACCACTGCTACAGCGGTGCCTGCTATTGCTGCCACCAGGTTGGGAAAGAACAAAGAACCTGAGTGCCTTATTACACCTCCAGCATACCACAGGCACTCAGGTTCTTTGCTCTTTCCCAAAGAGGCCAGACTGTCTTCCCTGTAAGCCCCCACCCCCTGCTCACCACCAGGCAAGGCTTCCAACTTGGGTGTGTGACATAGCCACTCCACCCCGGGCTGATCATTTTGGTTAGCAGAGGCTCTGCATTTCTCTGGGTTGGAGCTCCAAGAGGTAAGTGTAAGGCCCTCTAACATTGTCACTGCCAAGGTCCCTGCCCCTGCTGCCTGCAAGCTGGGGAGTGAACAAAGAGCCTGAGCTGAGCCCTCACTCATTCTATGAGGCCAGCATTATTCTGATACCAAAACCTGCCAGAGAAACAATGGAAAAAGAAAACTTCAGGCCAATATCCCTGATAAACATAGATGCAAAAATCCTCAACAAAAATCCAGCAGCACATCGAAAAGCTAATCTACTAAATCAAGTAGGCGTTATTCCTAGGATATAAGGTTGGTTCAACATACATAAATCCATAAATGTGATTCATTGCATAAGCAGAACTAAAAACAAAAACCACATGATCATCATAGAAAAGTCTTTCAATAACATTCAACATGTTTTCGTGTTTAAAAACCCTCAACAAACTAGGTATTGAAGGTACATAACTCAAAATAATAAGAGCCATCCGTGACAACTCACAGCCAGCATCATACTGAATGGGCAAAATCCAGAAACATTCCCCTTGAGAACTGGAACAAAACAAGGATACCCACTCTCATCACTCCTAGCCATTGTAGTACTGGAAGTCCTAGCAAGAGCAATCAGGTAAGAGAAGGAAATAAAAAGTGTCCAAATAGGAAAAGAGGAAGTCAAACTATCTCTGTTTGCAGATAATATGATTCTATACCTAGAAAATCCCAGTCTCTGACAAAAGGGTCCCAGCTCTGATAAACAACTTCAACAAAGTTCCAGGATAGAAAATCAATGTCCAAAATTCAGTAGCATTTCTATAAACCAATAACATCCAATCTGCTGGAATTTGCTGGAGGTCCACTCCAGACCCTGTTTGCCCAGGTATCACCAGCGGAGGCTGCCGGACAGCAAAGATTGCTGCCTGTTCCTTCCTCTGGAAGCTTTGTCCCAGAGGGGCACCCACCAGATGCCAACCAGAGCTCTCCTGTGTGAGGTGTCTGTCGACCCCTGCTGGGAGGTGTCTCCCAGTCAGGATGTGCAGGGGTCAGGGACTCACTTGAGAAGGCAGTGTGTCCCTTAGCAGGGCTTGAGCGCTGTGCTGGGAGATCCATTGCTCTCTTCAGAGCTGGCAGAGAGGAACGTTTAAGTCTGCTGAAACTGTGCCTGCAGCTGCCCCTTCCCCCAGGTGCTCTGTCCCAGGGAGATGGGAGTTTTATCTATAAGCCCCTGACTAGGGCTGCTGCCTTTCTTTCAGAGATGCCCTTCCCAGAGAAGAGGAATCTAGAGAGGCAGTCTAGCTACAGTGGCTTTGCTGAGCTGCAGTGGGCTCCACCCAGTTCAAACTTCCTGGCAGCTTTGTTTACACTGTGAGGGGAAAACCGCCTACTCAAACCTCAGTGATGGCTTGAGTAGCCTTCCCCCCACCAAGCTCAAGCATCCCAGATCAACTTCAGACTGCTGTGCTGGCAGTGAAAATTTCAAGCCAGTGGATCTTAGCTTGCTGGGCTCTGTGGGGGTGGGATACTCTGAGCTAGAATACTTGGCTCCCTGGTTTCAGCCCCCTTTCCAGGGGAGTGAACGGTTCTGTTTTGCTGGCATTCTCAGGCACCAATGGGGTATGAAAAAACTCCTGCAGCTAGCTCGGTGTCTGTCCAAATGGCCACCCAGTTTTGTGCTTGAAACCCAGGGCCCTGGTGGTGCAGGCACCCGAGAGAATCTCCTGGTCTGCAGGTTGTGAAGACCATGGGAAAAGCATAGTACGTGGGCTGTAATGCACCATTCCTCATGGCACAGTCCCTCATGGCTTCCCTTGGCTAGGGGAGGGAGTTCCCCAACCCCTTGTACTTCGTGAGTGAGGTGATGCCCCACCCTACTTCAGCTCACCTTCCTTGGGCTGCACCCACTGTCTAACCAGTCCCAATGAGATGAGCTGGTTACCTCAGTTGGAAATGCAGAAATCACCCACCTTCTGCCTTCTGCGTTGATCTCACTGGGAGCTGCAGACCAGAGCTGTTCCTATTTGGCCACCTTGCCAGCCACCCTGACTTGTTTATTTTCGATGCTAACCTGTGGGTTACCAAATATTGGGAAATGGTGTGCTGAGAGGAGAATATAAAGACAAAGTGTGGATCCAGTGCAGAAAATTTTACAGCTTCCTGTGGAATAAGAAAATGTTGGAAGCTTAAGAAACTTTTAATTTACCTAATAAAGCCTTGTATTTTATAGAAGCATGAGGCCCACCCATTTTTGTTTACTCTATATTCATTCAACTACTTTTTTTTCTTTTATTATTATTATACTTTAAGTTTTAGGGTACATGTGCACAACGTGCAGGTTTGTTACATATGTATACATGTGCCATGTTGGTGTGCTGCACCCAGTAACTCATCATTTAGCATTAGGTATATCTCCTAATGCTATCCCTCCCCCATCCCCCAACCCCACAACAGTCCCCGGTGTGTGATGGTCCCCTTCCTGTGTCCATGTGTTTTCATTGTTCAGTTCCCACCTATGAGTAAGAACATGGGGTGTTTGTTTTTTTGTCCTTGCAACAGTTTGCTGAGAACAATGGTTTCCAGCTTCATCCATGTCCCTACAAAGGACATGAACTCATCATTTTTTATGGCTGCATAGTATTCCATGGTGTATATGTGCCACATTTTCTTAATCCAGTCTATCATTGTTGGACATTGGGTTGGTTCCAAGTCTTTGTTATTGTGAATAGTGCCGCAATAAACATACGTGTGTGTGTGTGTGTCTTTATAGCAGCATGATTTATAATCCTTTGGGTATATACCCAGTAATGGGATTGCTGGGTCAAATGGTATTTCTACTACTTTTTATTTTACTGTATATTCATTCAAAAAATGTGGTATGTGATGAGCCACAAAACTTAAACTTTTTCCTGAAAAAATGTAGGAAGTCATTTATTAAAGGCTTTTCAGCAGACTTGGATCAGATTTGGAGTTTATATCATTGCACATCAATATGAAGGAGGAAGCTAGAGGGAAGCATGTCTGGAGGCAGTAAGGACAGTTAACTATTTCCATAATAATTCAAATAAAAAGTGTTAAAGGCCTGGATTTAGGCCATTTCATGGGCAACGGAGAGAGAGGTGGATAGGAGAGCTGTGATAGAAATAGAATCCACAGAGCTAAGAATCTATTCCAACTACAGCCCATTTCCACCTTATAAATTTAAAGTCTAGACTGTGATACCACTCAAAGGCTGGTCTTCTTGAGTGAGTTTCCTACTTCACAGAAAATTATCAGAGTGTGTCTTTAAGAATCAAAATTTATTGACTGCCTTGAGCAATGAAAATCTTACATCAGAGGCAGAATCAAGCATGATCTCAATTGTGATGGTCAACCAGCTGGAGCTAGTAATTTTTTTGTTCTTTTCAGAAACTAATTGTGGTAGGTCCTTTGAACAGCTACTCCAAAAACCTTCACAGTGTTTGAAACAGGGTGTGGAATAGGATAAGGGTGGTGAGAAGAGGCTACTTGGAAGGTGTCTTTCCATTTTTGAGATTGGGTGACAAGGTGTGTGACGATGCTGCTCACAGAGAAAGGGCATTCAGAGGCCAGAGGAAAATCAGAAAAATTTGGGACATGTGAAATTGAAAGTACCTGAGAAACAGTCAACTGGAGCTAACATGAAAGAAATGTTCATATACAGCTTTTCAGCTTAGCAGGAAAGTCTAGTCTACATAGGTTTGTAATTCAAGCATCCAAGTATATGTGATAGTTGAAATCATGCAAGTGAGTTACGTCCAGAAATGTTCAGTGACTTCCTCATGTCTCAAACCATTATAAGAATGAAACTCAGGTCTTCTCTCTTTACCACAATTCTCAATAAGACAAAATATTAGGGCAAAATAAACCTGTGTATGAAGTGTCTGGATCTCTTCAAATTTGGAATCTGATATCAGAAATTGCTACAGCCCTTAATTGCTAACACAGATAGTCCCTCTTTTATGTTTCATAAATGTTCTGCATTTTACCCTATTTCTATTAGATTTGAATTTCACCTTTTTAGTAACTTCACTTTTGAAATGTAACCCTAATAATTTTAGATTTCATAACTAATTGGTTAACATATAGTTGGTATGATCTTTATATTATTTGTTCAGGAAAGTTTCTAAAGCATTTTTCTTTACCAAGTTTTGGAGAAACGGTGTAGAATATGGATGCGGACCACTGGCCTGCATTCTGAATCCAATCAATTTAAAGAGAGCTTCAACCACTGTAAAACTCAATGCATCTACATAAATGGAAATCAATTGAATTGATTTTTGACAGACTTGCTCCACTGCCTTCAATTCAAAATCTGCTTATACATAGTGTTCCAGAACAAAATCATTATCATGTACAACAGAAATACTGTTTTATTAAAAGCATAAAGGTTACAGTTTTGCAAAAGCTTCACTTTACATGAATTTTCAGTGAAATAAAAATGTTTTTAACCACTTATACTATAAATCTGTAATATGCTTGCACTCTGCAAGAGCTAATAAATCTATTAATCCATTGACCTGAAAAAGGTTTAAATGCCCCAAAATTATCAGCATTAATGGTTCTGATTATTTTCTCCATGAATTTGCACTGTGTACAATTATTATCCAAAGTATGTGAAGTGATGATTCTTTATCGAGCTTATATTAAACATGATACATTAAAATATATTAAATGCTAGAGTATCTGTATCATAAAATACATTAAAATACTGTACCAGAATATCTAGAAAGAAAGGACTTATGAAGTAGACCTGCATGCCCTTCTCTCTCATGGCAGAGTTTGGGTGATGCATCAAAGGAAGAAAGAAAGCATATTATCTTGTCTAATTGCCTTGTAAACATTATAATGGCAGCTCTCCTGGCAAACAAAGTATGTGACCTTGGCTAGCAAGAGAGAACTATGAAATACATATAGTAAAATATAGCTGCCTATCTAGAATCACCTGTGTAAATAGACCTGGAATCTTTAGGTTTACAGGGGATGGCTCCAAGGAAAATGTCACATAAACTATGTAACTCAGTAATTCATGACCTAAGTGGCTTCTTCTGTGCAAGATCTGTACCAGAACACATCTCATGTGAGAAGAAATGACCCAATAAGTCACATTGGGGTCCCAGAACACTTTCTGCTTCACTTGTGTCATATAACTGCTTGTGTTATTGCAATTATTAGCAAAACTTGACATTGAGTAAGTACTCTGATTCTATGATTTTCATTTACCAGTCTAATTCTTAATATTATCTTAATGCTTGCATAATATGATATCTGAAATCATCTCAGGTGCTATGAATAGATCATTTTAATTTCATTAATAATAAACCACATTTAAAAAACCCTCAATGATGGGGGTATATCAAAGGAATACAGGAGCCAACAGAAAGAACTCCCAGTGGCCAAAACTAGAACAATTTGTGCAATAAAATAAACAAAGTAGTATTGAATTATATCCCAAAGTATTAAATTATTTTTAATTCTAAATGTATATAAATAATTGCTTAAATAAATAGGGAAGAATATACAGTCCTCTAGATACATATTAGTGAAATGAAAAATTCCAGTCAAAATATAGGGCTGATCTGGGAATAACAAGAAGAGCTAATCCTCTGCATTACTCATAGCAATTTTCTTACAATGCTTTGATAAAATCTAACAGTCACACAACTAGGTACATAAAAATGTTTGACAAAATTGAATATCCACTTATTATGAAAACTCTCAGCGAAGTACAAATAAAGGCAATTTTCTTATCCTGATAAAGCACAAACTGATTCTTAAATTGTATAGGGCATGGTAAAGGGGCAAAAATTCTAAAATAATTTTGAAAATGACAAAGTTAGAGGAATCACACTATCTGATGTTAAGACTTAAGTTACAGTAATCAAGATAGTCATGCAGGTCAATGTAACAGAATAGGGAATCCATAAACTGATGCCCACATATATGGTCAATTGATCTTTGATAAAGATCAAAGAACAGATAGAATTTTCTTTTTAATAAATGGTGCTGGAATAATTTGGCATCTTATGTGAAAAATAAACCTCTACTTATAACTCCCTCTTTATAAAAAATTAAAAATGGATTATAGACATAAATGTAAAATTATAAAACTTTACAAGATAATCTAGGAGAAAATAACCATGACTCTGATTTAGGAAAATATTTCATATATTTTGAAGCTCTGGTGTTTGGTCCATATATGTTTAAAACTGTTATGTCTTCTTGGTGAACTGATTCTATTATCATTATATAATGCCCTTCCTTGTCTCTTATAAGAGTTTTTCACTTAAAGTCTATTTTGGCTGATAGTATAGGCACCCTTCTTTCTTTTTATTACTATTTGCATAGAATATATTTTGCCGTATTTCCACTATCAACCTGTGCTTGTACTTAGGGTTAAAGTGAGTTTATTATAGACAGAATAGAGTTGGATCCTGTGTGGATTTTTTTAAAAAAATCCATTCTGCCAATCTATATCTTTTGGCTGCAGAGTTTAATCTATTTACATTTAAAGGGAAGAACTTACTATTGGCACTCTGCTATTTGTTTTCTGTAGGTTTTATAGCTTTTTATCATTCATTTCCTATTATCACATTTTTCTGAGACTCTGAAGTACACCAGATTATAGGAGCAGAAAACAGATCAGTGGTTTCTAGAGGTTACATATCAGTAGAGAGTGCTTACAAAGGGGATTCCAGGGAGAGTTGTTTTGTGGTGATGAGACTATTCTGTGTTACTGATTGTAGTGGTAGCTACATTACTTCATGCATTTGGTAAAACTTATTGAACTATATACAAAATATAAAAGTGAATTATGCCATGTGATATTGTGATATAATAAAAATTATGTATTTGGTCTCTGTCCCTAATTCCTGAGACAGAGCTTCTAAAACCCTTGCAGATAGGGATGCTAGGAGTATCTTTTGTTCTTATATTTGGTCTTTGACCCTGGTTCTTGACACAGAGCTCCGAAGAACTTTTTAATTTCCTGAGTGATAGGAGTATCTGATACAGAGCTCCTACATCCCCGGAATATCCTGGATTATAGGAGCATCTCTTGCTGTAATGAGGTGACTCTTGGTAGGCTCCTGGATAGCCTTAGAATAGGAGCTGATTGCCATGAAAACCAACCATGTAATTAGAGGATATGAACTTTTAGCCCCAACCCCTTATTCCCCAGGAAGAGGAAAGGGGCTGAAAATTTAGTTGATTACCAATGGCCAATGAGGTAATCAATCATTTCTACATAATGAAGCTTTCATAAAACCCCAAAATCAGTTTGGAGAGCTTCTGAATTGCTGAACACATGGAGGTACCTGAGGGTGGCATACCAGAGAGGGCACGGAAGCTCCCTACACCTTCTCTCATGCCTTCAGTGATGTCCAAGGGAGGGAATACAGTCATGGGTTCTTAGTTTCTGTTCCCAGTTGGGCCAGTAAAGCCCCTTCCTCCTTCCTCTTTTCTGCTTATCACTATAGACAGAAACTAAAAACCATGGCTTCAGGTTGCTAAAAGTCTAAAGCAAAACAAAACAGGACAGCAACAACAACAACAACAACAACAACAACCTCAACAAAATAAGGCAGATTGGACAAGCTTGCCCTATGCAGCTTCTCCACCTAACTGTTCATTACTTTCCTTAGTAACATCCTTTGTAATAAATGAGTAAATGTAAATAATGTGTTTCCCTGATTTCTGTGAGCCATTCTAGCAAATTAATTGAACCTAAACAGGGGGTAATGGGAACCTCCAATTTATAGCCAGTTGGCCAGAAGTACAGGTCACATTCTGGGACCTGCAATTGGCATCTAAAGTGAAGGGAAGTCCTGTGAGACTGTGCCCTTACTGTGTGGGATCTGACCCTATATCCAAGTAGATAGTGTCAGAATTGAATTCAATAATAGGCCAACCTGGTGGTGTCTGCTGGAGAATTCCTTTGCATGCGGGGAAAAATCCATACATATTTTGGTGACCAGAGGTGAAGTAATGTATTGAGTGGTGAGTGTGTGAGACTAAGAAAAATAGTTTGGTTTTTTTATATCTCAAATATATTATATATAAATTTAAAGACAAATTTAAAAATTGAATCATTTTAAAATGTCTAAAATTTAAAGTACATTGAGTAACCCATGAGAGTAATTTATAATGTTCATATTTGATGAAAATAGTTTCCAGTCAATTATTTTTTTCTGTTTACATTATAGAATTATATTTAGGTTAAATTTTATACATTTAAAAATTATTTCCTTGGTTTATATTCTGAAATTTTTTTCTAGTCCTTCTTAGAGCTGATAAGCATCTTTGCTGATTATCTGCTTGTGTTACTCCATCAGGCTTCCATAGCCCATCTGATTCCACCAGATTATTCAAATGAGCTCCTTATCACACTGTAGCTCAAGCCCTCAGAGATGTTCTTCTCTCCTATACAGACTTGCCACATTTTTTCAGGTGTGTAGGCATTTGCTCATGTCTTAAATGTTCATCTTTATCCATCTGCCTATTCAAATCCATCTACACAATGTATTCTAGGAAGCATATCTTGATTATACTATGCATCATTGACTTCCTCATTTAGATGAGCCTCTATAACATTCGTAGGCTGTATTGCAAAATTCAATGACAAGTATATTTATATTCTCTTGCATTTGTTTCTTGTGTTTCAAGTGTATTAGTCTTGTCTTCTCAGATAGATGGTTAAGGCCATGATTTATATTTTGATGGTTTTCACAGCACCATCTTTGGTAAAATGACTACCGAAAATATATCTTTCATCACCATAGATGCTCAGTGCCATTGGATTAATCTAGAGCTAAGGATACTTGTTTTTATCTGAATCTCAGAGGCTGGGGACAGTTGGTCTCAGAAGTGACATGAATCACTGAAAGTTAAATGTTCCTTAACAGAGGGAGGTTGGAACTCACATATTTGAAAATAGCTCACATCATATACCACAGAAACGTTATGGTTTATTTACATACATATATATGACATATCTCATATATATAAGACATTTTCCAAATGTCTTATTCTTACAGTGATAGATACTTGTTGCTTCAAAGAACATGTACACTATAGAAATATAGAAATTAGCTTAAATTAGTATTGTTACTGATTCACATCATTTTCTCATTTATTGTCATTGAAATTGGCCCCCTGGAAGAATAATCAGTCCACCATCTTGGACCAGCACTTAATTATTATTTAGCAAAATTTAATTGTTATTACCAAAATGTAGGGACAAGTAAAAATATAATTCACTATTATGATAATATTGGTAAATATTCTGATTCAAATGTTTTTCTTGCAATATGCCTCAATTTATCATCATAAAAATAAAAGATCCAAGTTTCCAGATTGAAAATATTTGATATTTGTAAACTATGTACCCAACAAAAAACAAATATCCAGAATTTATAAAGAACTTAAACAAATCAACAGAAAACCCAAATAACCTCATTAAAAAGTGGGCAAAAGGAACAGACATTTCTCAAAAGAAGACATACAAGTGGCCAAGAAGCATATGAAAAAAATGCTCAACATCGTTAATTATCAAAAAGATGCAATGAGATATTATCTCACACCAGTCAGAATGGCTCTTATTAAAAAGTCAAAAAACAACAGATATTGGCATGGCTGTAGAGAAAGGGAATACTTATAAACTGTTGGAGAGAATGTAAATTAATTTGGCTCCTGTGGAAAGCAGTTTGATGATTTCTCAGAGAACTAAAAATAAAACTACTATTTGACCCAGCAATCCCATTACTAGGTAGCTACCCAAAGAAAAATAAATTATTCTTCCAAAAAGACACCTGCACTCATATGTTTATCAAAATACTATTCACAATGGCAAAGACATGGAATCAACCTAGGTGCCCATCAACAATGGACTGGATAAAGAAAATGTGGTACATATATACGGTGGAATACTGCACAGCCATAAAAAGAACAAAATCATGTCCTTTGCAGCAACATGAATGCAGCTGGGGACCACTTCCTAAGCAAATTAAAGCAGAAACAGAAAAACAAACACTGCATATTCTCACTTATAAGTGGGAGCTAAACACTGGAAAATATAGATAGGAACAGTAGACACCGGGGACTCCAAAAATAGGGTGGGAGAAAAGGCAGCAGGGTTTGAATACTACCAATTAGGTACTATGTTTAGTATTGGGTAAGGGAATCAATAGAAGCCCAAACCTTAGCACCATGCAATACACCCATGTAACAAACCCGCACATGTAGCCCCTGAATCTGAAATAAAAGATTTTTAAGAGTAAGAAATAAAATTATTTGAAGGAAACTGACCTATACATTTCTTTACTTGCCTTAAATATCTCTTCTTTGAGGAATCTGATATTTTTTGCGTATAAGTGCTCTTCAGCAATTAGTTGAAAATACAAAACCACATAGTTTGCATGATATATCAATTTGTGTCACTTTTTTTTCAATTCTTTGCAAATAAGCACTCCCCAAATTATTAGAAATCTCAGAAGGAAAATTAATTTATTGCTGCAGCATATATTAGGCAAAGTGGAGAAGTGGAGTATTCCAACTGAACTAAAAATTATATCAAACCAATTTCTAGCTCCCACTGAAACATTAAAAGAATTAAACATTACAACTTACTACTGTCAATGTAATTTTGTTCACTTCCACTTGTTTTTCTGCAGTTTTTTCAAAAATTTTAACACTGAAAACATTATAAAAATCATATAACTAATTGTATGTTGGTTAAAATATGTTTTATCATAATAACTACTTTCACGTACTAATGTTTGATATGGTTTGGCTCTGTGTCTCCACCCAAGTCTCATATCGAATTGTAATCCACAATGTTGGAGGAGGTGATTGAATCATGGGAGCAGACTTCCCTCTTGCTATTGCTATTCTCATTATAGTGAGTTCTCAAGAGACCTGATGGTTGTAAAAGTGTATAGCACCTCTCAGCTCTCTCTTTCCTACCAGTCATGTGAAGATGTGCCTGTTTCCCCTTTGCATTTCGCCATGATTTTAAGTTTCCTGAGGCCTCCCCAGCAATGCCTCCTGTACAGCCTGTGGAACTGTGAGTCAATGAAACCTCTTTTCTTCATATATTACCAAGTCGTAGGCATGTGTTTATAGCAGTGTGAGAACAGACTAATACAATATTATTATTTCCTCTTGAATTGTGCATTGTCATATTAAAAATTTCAAGCATTGTTCTAGGTGCTGGCAGCAGTGAATTAAACCAAATCCCTGTGCTAAATCCATTTATATTTGATGGGGGAGAGAGAATGCTTGCCAATCTTTCTTCCTAGGTACGTGGCCCTCTTATTCTTGATGCTCTTGTGAACATGTGATGTGGCTCTTTCACTGAGAAATCTCCATGGGGAAGAACTGGGTATTACATAAGGCACTTGTAACATCAGTACAATCTAGGAAAAAGAAATCTTAAGATTTGTTTTAGATTTGAATCCTAAAATTTCCAAAGACATTCTTCTATATTGTGAGTTGTTAGAGTTCTTTAAATTGCACTTTTGACTATAGAAAGTGGATTGCCATGTTAAATTAAAACAAAAATAAAAGATCAGCAATAAATAAACTGAAACTGATTACAACATTTTATTATAGTTGTATTTTTCTGGGAAAGGCAGAATGAACATCAGATCCCCCAAAGGGCCCATTATCTAAAGTGTATAAGGGAGCACTTTTATTGTCTCACATAGTTCAAGTGGAGATATTGGCAATTCCAAATTCATATGTAAAGCCCAGAGTCAGTCTCATACCAAGGTCTGCTCTTAACATGGCAGAGATACTCCATATGCCAGGGTTACTGAGATTTAATACCAGCTCATCATTCTTTTGACTTTTCCAGATGGCAGACTTTTAGCATAGATATTTTTTCTAGATATCTACAATTGTAGCTACATGGAGTAAAGTGCAATTAACTGAAATTACTAGCAATTTTGTCTTTCTGATTTAAAGGCATTTTGTTTATTCTTTTTAAGTACTCCAGGCCCCTGCTCACACTCATTTGTTGAATTCAGTAACTAACCAACTCTTCTGAAAATGGGAATATAAAATTGGAATTCCTCAAAGGTTATGTAAAATAATGTATGAAAAACCTTGTACCACAGAATTTGGCTGTTGACATGCCTTTAATAAATTTTGGGTGTATCTGAGCACATCACTTCATAGTAAGAACATTTCTATTTACAAGCAGTAATGTATCAAGGCTAAAGTTACAAATTTGGTCTATGGTATAAGTCTCATAAAGTTTTTGCCATGTTGAATTTTTTTAAATGATGTTGGTTTTGTCAGTTCATGATAGTTTATTTTTTAAATGTTTTACCAAAATGGTCAAAATATCTTACATTTAAATGTTTATTCTGTTATAAATAGTAGACTTATGGATTTCTTAAATATTTGTTGTAAGCATCTAGTGAGGCAGTCGTAATCCCACTAACTATATACAAACCAAAAAGCCCTTTTTATGTTTAAAACACACACGCTGTGAAGGAAGTTATTCCAAAAACTCCAGACTGTGAACAGACATTAACCTTCTACTTTGACAACATCTAATTTTCCTGAAGAACAATTAAAACCCAGGGAGCCTCAATTAGAAGCACTTTCACTTTGGTAATAAAGGCCAAGTTTTAATGTTTAGGTTTTAGTTGCATTCATTTTTCATACCAATGAACTGCATCATGCTCTTCCTTCAGCACACAAGCTGCAACCAGGCCACAATTTTATCATTTTCATCAGGGCCCAAACATATGCCATCTCTACTCAAAGCCCTGCTAATTCCTGGAGGTTTCTTCAGAGAGCTGAGTTGAGGAAAGAATTATTCAGCAAAGGTAACTAACATGGATGCTAATGTATATAATCTGGCTGAGAAATCAGCTTTTCTTCAACAGCTAACTGTGCCTTATTCTTTCTGGTCACTTTCTCCAAGAGGAGCACTGGACTCTGCTAGTGGATCTAAAGTTTTCCCTAGTGTATTTTCCAGCCATATTCTAGAGATGTGCCCCTTCTCCTGAACTGTGTGGTGTGGTGAAGGTGGGGACATGATGAGGACTTAGCTCTCAGAGTTAGCAATGCTGCATGCATCCAGGATCTGCTACTCACTGGGGGACCTTCTACAAGTCACTCAGCCTCTCTGGTCCTGTTTCATTATCTATACAATGAGGAACCCTGTCTACATTCTCTCTAACTATCATATAGCTCCAAAGTTTCTATGAAGCCCAGATGTTCCACTCAAGGAATTTAGTATCTTTACACCTTCATTTTCAAGAAAAAATGAAGCTTCTCCTCCCAAAATATTAGAAACCAGTGCTAAAAGTCTAGAATATTTTAGTGTCTATGAATTTTAAAATCCTGTTTTAATTACAAAATAATAATCAGAAGAGTAGGAAGGAGACAAGTTAATAAACAAGCAAAAGCTTTTTCCCTAACAAATAATCAGCCAAGGAAGAGATGAACATAAGAATTGACATAGTTAATTCTCCTAGAATGAATATAGTGCAGGAGTTACTCCATGATATAGAAAATAAGGTATAACCCCAAGCTGTCATTTGAGGACCAATAAGTCATTGAATGACACTTTGATTCCTAGATGCAAATATTTTAAAGGCTTTTTTATTAATACAAAATTGTGGATTGAGGCATCACTGAGAATCCCAAGTAATGAGCATCCACAGCCATGTCTCTCTCAATATGCACCATGCGGGTCTGGGTCCTTCTCAGGGTCCAGGCAGGGTATACTATTTATGCTCCCCTATGTCTGCTCTTCTTCTGCAGGAGGCATTTTTCCCACCTTCATAGCTGTCTCCGTTCTCTTCTACTTTACAGTTTACAGGAAAGCTACTTGCTGTAAGTCAGCCTGTTTTAGCCCTTGAGATGCAAAGAGCTTTGCATGTGAAGCTCTATATGCAAAGCTATGGAATGTGGCACTCCATTTCTCTGTCAGTAAAATCTTGAAAGTCTTTTGTTCAGGACTCAGAAATATGATTTTACAAAATAAAAGTAGAACACTGACTTTAATGGAATAAAATAATATACCAGAAAAAAAAACTCTCTCTACATTTTATCCCTTTTGCACAAGTAATGCCCAGTGGAGTCAGTCCCCTGCCCCAAGGCCTCACTGATAACTCTTTTCCCCCATTAAGCTTAGCCTTCCTTTCTAAGAAATATCCTCTCCTTAAGCCTAAATCTGAATGCTATTTCAACCAGATTTTACTTTGGTAAAAATTATACCAACAGAGATCCGAGTGCCATTCTCCTCCAAAGTACCACAAAATCCAAGGATAACAAGGAGTGCTTACTACGTGACAGAGGAAGTACTAAGTTCTCTGCTTGTATTGACTCATGTAACCCTCTCAAAAGCCCTATGTGTTAAGTTTCCCATTTAATGAATGGAAAACTGAGTCCTAGAAAGATTAATTGGCTACCTAAGAGCATACAGTTAGAAAGGGTGGATCTGGGATTTCACCAGATGCACATGTGGCTTTGTGAAATCTGACAGGGATGTCAATATCCCGACAGGTAAAGTGAGGTTATAATTTTCTCTTATTTTCTATTCTTTTTCTAAAAATCATGTGCTCAAATCTTACAGGACTGTGTACTCAAGAGGCTAGCTATTATTCTCCACTGCTTTTTAAGCAGCAAAATCTTTTTCATTAAATGACATCTTAAGTAAAAGCTTAATATATACAACATGTCAAACAGGGGTTGCTGTATTAGAGGTGAGGTATGGATGTGCTGGCTGCAGGTGAGGGCAAAGGGCAAAGGGCAAAAGGGCAAAGGGCAAAGCCCGAGTTACCTTCTTCAAGGCAACTCTGCCACAACTTGAAAACATCTTAGGCCTCAGTTTGAAATGCTTCTCCTACTTTCGGGAGTCTTCAGCATCAAAATTTCTCCCAGATAACCTGACAAAACTGTAGAACATCAGACCTGGAATGACTGAAAGACCACCGGGCTCAGTGTTTACCTGAGGTGGGCAAGTGGCTGAGCAGCTCAGGAGTGGGCCCCCTTAGTCTTGTCCCATCTTACTTTGTACTACACTGTTCTTTAGAGAAAGCTTCCTTTTGGAGACCAACCAGGACTCCTTAGAAGCAGAGGTGACAAAGCAAGCTTTCTAAATGATTTGGGGGAAAGGACAAGTCTTCCTTTCACATTTTTGGAAGGAAATACTTTTAATAAGGCAGGGATTCTCCAATGAACTGGTCTAAACCACTGCTTGCGGCCTCATGCCTGGCCTGCTTCACCCACTCAACAGAATCACCTCGTCTCTGAAGGTGGTTGTGTTTGAAACACGTGCTTTACGGAGCAGCTGCTTACAGGCTTAAAAGGGAATCAGAGGTGTCGGTTCAATCAATCTGCCCCCCTGTAAGCTTCATGAGGACAATGACTCTGTCTCCCTGATGCACGTGAACCTAGCACCGGCACCCTGGAGCAGAGCAAGTGCTCAATACTGATCGTGTTTGCTTAATTGATAAGCCATTAGTGTGCGCTCTAATAAACTGCTTTAGAAGAATGCTTTAGGAGTTGGAAGTATAGATCTGCCTAACATACACTTAGAAAAAATTAGGCAGATCTTTTAAATGCTTACATTTTAGTAAGGAAAACAATTGATCATTAGGGTGAACGCTGCATCATTATTTTACAATCTACAAAGTAACAGGAAAGTGTACAGATTTGGCAAACCACAGAATTAACCATTGTATCTGACTTACATTACTCATTTGCTCATGGATGAGATTCTAACAGAGATGCATTTGGCATTTTCACAAATGCTCTGCGTTTCAAAGAGTAGATCAGCTAATTTTGCGCTGAAACCCTTAAACTTAATGGGGACAATGTATCTCACCTCAAATCTTCAATCAGATGTGCTGATCAAACCCACATGAAGCACATTTATTCTTGGAAAATATTTTCAGTTTTACTATTTACTATTGTAATTCCCATTCATAAAATAGCCAGCATTTGCCATTATATTTTACAGAGACATCTTTAACAACTTTTTACAAGAATGACTGCAATATTTTAGGTTATCAATAAACTGGTGTGGAAAATGCAGCATTCTTAAAAGTTAGTCATGGCACTAGTGCATTAATTATACATTAGAACAATTAGCCTTAAAGAGATTATAGATTTATAAATTGTAAATTATGCCAAGTATTTTGAAATTAGGTACCTGTGAGTTATGACCCTGTGTTTTGAAAGAACAACTTGTAACTATATTGCTGATATCTTGATTATAATATTTTATGCCAACATTATGTTAAAATATAATATCCCATTATAAAAGTTCCAGAGACAAGCCACAATATGTAAATATTTCTGTATTTTAATTTACAGAGCTTATTTTTTCATTTGCCCTGATAACTGAATTAACATTGTCAAGGGAAATTCATATGAATCAAAAAATGCAATAAATTAGACCCTTAAAATAATTCATAGTTCATGAGTTGCCCATTTTAAGGTCAAAGTTTTTAGCAAAAGCTCACAACTCTTATGGCACTATCTTTTAGGTACAGTTTAAAACTTTGAATATGCTTTGTTTTCAAGTGTTTATGAATAATTTCTTCAATAATAAAAAAAATCATATACTTTGAAGAAAGGGCCTATCTCATTCTTCTTGCCTGGCCACATGGTCTCATGGGTACAATTCAATATTTTAATAATTTCTACTATTCCTGAGATAGTCAAACAATTTCTCATCATCATCTCACCATCACAATCTTAATGACAAGTCTCAGTTTCTGAGTGTCAGCCAGAGAGCAGATACCAGGAATTGTGCTCTAATCCTCATAACAAAACTTCAAGATCTCTCGGCAAAGAAAAGTCAAACCAAGATTCAAAACCATGGTTGTGGATTCCAAAGCTGAACCCTTTCTGGCCATGATGCCTCCTTTAGCCAAGTGGTAATTCAACAGTTAGCTTTATAATATGTCACAGATAGATGATCCATTAAATAGTTTCTAACACTGTTCTGATTCATCTCTTTTACAATATATTGAGAATAATAGCATTTCCACAAAGGTTATTTCAAATGAAAAGACATTTACTATCTTTGTGCTATCATTTACCCTAAAGAACCTATATTTTTCCAATAATGTAGTTTCCACTCCTGGGAAAGCACAGCTCTTTTATACAAATGGCATGAAATCAGAGGGATGCTGTGCAAATGCTGTGCTTCTCCAAAATGAATTTTTAAGATTGACCCCAAAACTCATCTTCTCCTTTCAATTTACGTAATATCTCTTACAAAACTGCCAAAACCATATTTCAAATTTAAAATGTCTTGGACAAAGGGAAAAATGCTCTGAAATATCAAATTACATGTACTTTATTTCTTTCACTGTGACGACTCCAAAATATAACCTCAGCTTCAGCTATGATTTCTCTTAAAAATTCTATTAAAATGCAAAGAAATAGTTGGTTGTAGGTGGCAGAGCCTTCTGAGATCCCTCTGGCAGTTTGAAAATATGCCCTTAAATTCTTTAACACTTATTTAAAAATAGAGTCTAATTTCCCTCTCTTTGAATATGAGCCAGATTTACTGGCTCACTTCTAATGACTGTAATATGGTAGAAATGACACCATGTGACTTCCTCAGCTCAGTTAGGAAAGGCCAGACACCTATGCCTGGCTCCCTTCTGCTCTCCTGGTACACTCACCATTGGATCCATCTACTACGCTGAGAGGAAGCTGAAGAGCCACATGGAAATCCAACAGCTAGTATCAACCACTAGATGTGTGAGTGGATGAGCCTGCAGATGATCCTCGCCCCTGGTCTTTGAGCCATCCCCAAACCATGCGGAGTTATTGCATATTCATAAACAAAATAAATGCTGTCATTTTTTAAGCCACTAAATTTTGGGTGGTTGTTCTGTGGAAATAGATAGTCAGAGCAAGCCCATTCAACCATTTGTTTTGGGGTTCCAAATAGAAAGCATCTTGAATAACGTAGATTAAATGACAGTAAATGCAAATGCAGACACCAAACATATCCTAGAGGAATCTTGGAGAACTTTAGTCTTGCTGCTTTTTATTTTTACATCTCATCAGCAGTACTGACGTTTCATCAGGATCAATGGAGAATTAACAATGGAGTTAATATTTTTTCCCTTTATTAGTTTGGGGAAAAGGTAGATCTCATAATCTGGTGTACTCCTTTTGGAAGCTTTTCATATTATCCTATCCTTTATCACAGGCTCCTCACATTCAGCATGTCCTAAACCAAATATTTTTTCTCCTACCCATTGACTCCTCCCCCTATGATTCTCATCATTATCAATGGAATTTGACTTAGAAATCTATTCCTTTCTCTTCTCCTTCCCTATAGTCAATCATTAAATCTTGTAGATATTATCTCCTATCACTGATCATTTGATATAACTCACCAAGTTTCACTAATAATAATCAAAGTGGTAATACATTTGACAAACTCCAAAAAAAGATAATTTTTTTCTTTTTCTTTTTATATGGGGTCTCGCTCTATCTCTCAGTCTGGAGTGCAATGGCATGATCTTGGCTCATTGCAACTTCTGCCTCTGGGGTTCAAGCGATTCTCCTGACTCAGCATCCCAAGCAGCTGGGACTACAGGCATGCGCCACCACGCCCGGCTAATGTTTTTCGTACTTTTACTAGAGACAGGGTTTCACTATATTGGCTAGGCTGGTCTCAAATTCCTGACCTCAAGCATTCTGCCAGTCTCAGCCTCCCAAAGTGCTGGATTACAGCTGTGAGCCACCATGCCAAGCCAAAGAAAGATAGATTTTTAAAATGTTTCTAATAATAGAGAAAGTAAAGATGCTACGTTAGAA
This sequence comes from Homo sapiens, assembly GCF_000001405.40. Classification (NCBI taxonomy): domain Eukaryota; kingdom Metazoa; phylum Chordata; class Mammalia; order Primates; family Hominidae; genus Homo; species Homo sapiens. The sequence continues at coordinate 66,678,318 of NC_000009.12, read as the reverse complement.
CACATTATCTGTTCCCCTTCCCGAAACAGCGAATTATTGTTTCGGTTTGTGAAAATATCCAAATGCACAGTACATAGAAAACTGCAATGACTTCCTTTAATGTGTACTCATAGAAACTCAAGATCAGGAGTGACTTCTCCAAGACCCCACATTCGCCTGCTTCCTTTGCGCCCCTCTCAGGTGCATATTTTCTGTTTTTTTTTTTTTTTTTTTTCATAACTCTTTTCAGGCATGGTCCCTCCGTTTATATTTTCAAAGACGCTTAGCCAGGTTAATATCCTGTCAGTCTTTTCACACACTAGAAGTTAGCCTGTTCATATACGGGCCAATGGATCAGAAAATCAGGGAAGAATCCAAGGAAATCAAATCACCATGTGTAGTTAATAAACTCGTATTTATTGCTTATCTATCAGCAGATGCTTCTAAAAACATCCATGCCCAGGCCCCACCACAGTCCCATTAAATTAGTGTCTGGGGGAAGGGCTCAGGCCTCAGTATGTCCAGAGCTCTCCTGGTGATGCCAGTGAGCAGCCAGGGCCGAGAACCACTAGCCAGGGTGTGCCTACTATTACGAAGGTGTTTTCAGAGATACACAGAAAGCACCTCAGATAAATTCTGTAAACATCTCTGTAATTGAAAAAAGTTATAATATGTGAGAGGGAGAACACTAATTCAACTCATTTTTTACTAACTGGACCAATTATTTTACCAAAACAAGTGTATATTGTAGGCTTTGTCGTAAGGTTTCTGTATTGAAAGAATGTAGAGCATCTGTGAGACGGAATGTGTTTTGGGTTTTGGTGGGTGTGGAGTCTAACCTAACCAATATTTTGAGTAAAATGTTAGAGAATGGAGACACTGATCTTTGTTTAAATCTTATTTTCTCCATTCATTGATGTGCTGGAGATAACAAGCCACAGCTGATGAGGACCTAATATTGCCCTCGTGAGCACAGACCTTCTGCTGTTTTCTACAACAAAGAAAACAGTATCTCTGCATCATTGTTCAGGCTTCCAGCAGAAAAGGTGCAGGCATGAGTTCAGAGAAGCACTACTAGTGAAGCTGGGGCGCCCCACAGCGCCCCCCGACAGAGGGGTGAGATGATTTGTGGATGCTCTACACTGCGTGACTAAAACATTTGGAGGCTCGCTATTACTTTGCCTTTCATTCCCTTGTAGGAAACTATAGATTCAAATGGGTTGGTATGGCTGGTTAATTTTAATTTATAACTCTATGTTTATTTAAAAATTGGATAAAATTCATGCTGACTGTATTTTATTATATACAAACATATCCATGCTTACTTCCATTTATCCATACAACAAATTCTACTCATAGTATCTATTTAACTCGTACTATTAGAAATGATGAAATAAAATTGTTACTTAAATTTTATTTAAATCTAATAAGATATATTCAGTATTGTTTAGCTCATAATTGTATAGAAATGAATGTATACATTTATATATTTTTTCTTGAATAATCAAGAGGAAAGACATTCTCTGCTATAATATGAAGTGTCAAAGGTGATTGTTGTACCAGGCACGGTGTGGCTCACACCTGTAATCCCAGCACTTCAGGAGGCCGAGGTGGGCGGATCATTGAGATCTGGAGTTGGAGACCACCAGCCTGACGAACATGGTAAAACCCCATCTCTACTAAAAATACAAAAATATTAGCTGGGCGTGGTGGTGCACTCCTGTAATCCCAGCTACTCGGGAGGCTGAGGCAGGAGAATCGCTTGAACCTAGGAGGTGGAGGTTGCAGTGAGCCGAGATCGCACCACTGCACTCCAGCCTGGGCAACAGAGTGAGACTCTGTCTCAAAAAAAAAAAAAAAAAAAAGATTTCGTATAATGGGCAGCTGCTTTTACCTGGAACGCAATAAATCCTCACATACTTTCTGAAAACTGACTTTGAGATTCTGTCTTAAAAAAAAAAAGGTGATTGTTGGGGATATAAATAGTCTATTTGTTCCTATAAAAAAAATCTTTCGTAAATCCCCTGGCATATAGGAAAGGTAGAGGAAATGCTGGTGTACCAGGCCTCATGGGTAACTCTCCCATTTCCTCAGGGTGCTCCACCGCCAAGACCCTCTCGGAGAGCCATGAGCGCAATGCTGACTCCCGTTCTGCCCTCGCTGGCCCCCGTGCCAGATCTCCATGCGGCTTCTGGTTGTTTCCATTGCCCGTTCTGATGTGGGAAGTTGCTTATTTCCAACATGGAGGGAAAAAAAGCCCTTATAGCCCCACTATACATTAGGCTTTAATTAGCAATTACCACCCTAATGAAAAGAATCAGCAACACTTTTTACAATGCCCTGAGGTGTTGTTGGTGAGAATTTTTCTTTTAGACTACTACCACAAATACAACTTTTTGACTCAGAGATGTAGTGGTTTTAGAATTTAAGATTTGACTGCCATGCAGTTGATTATCAAATGTACTTACTATATTTAAACACAATCTCAAATTCTGTTTTGTTTTGTTTTGTTTTGAGACCGAGTCTCACTCTGTGGCCCAGGCTGGAGGAGTGCAGTGGCGCTATCTTGGCTCACAGCAACCTCCATCTCCCAGGTTCAAGCGATTCTCCTGCCTCAGCCTCCCAAGTAGCTGGGATTACAGGCGTGAGCCACCATGCCCGGTCCACAATCCCAAATTCTTACTTGGGATATTATATTCAAAGAAATATAAAGTGGCCGAGCGCGGTGGCTCATGCCTGTAATCCCAGCACTCTGGGAGGCTGAGGTGGGCCAATCATGAGGTCAGGAGTTCGAGACCATCCTGACCAACATGGTGAAACTCCATCTCTACTAAAAACACAAAAATTATCCGGGCGTGGTGACACATGCCTGTAATCCCAGCTACTCAGGAGGCTGAGGCAGGAGAATCACTTGAACCGGGAGGCAGAGGTTGCAGTGAGCTTCGACTGTGCCACTGCACCCCAGCCTGGGCGACAGAGTGAGACTGCATCTCAAAAAAAGAAAAAAAAAAGAAAGAAGAAATATAAAGTGATACCTTGTTAAGTAATATTTCCATTATAGTTTCTGTCTGCAACTACATGAAGCCCTCTGTGCCCTTGCAGTAATGGCATCTAAATCCAGCAAACAGAGTCGCATCTTCTATTACCACCATTTCCCCGATGGATTCTTCCAGGGAATGGAGGCACAAGTCAGCTTCATGCCTGGCTGCATATGGAAGAAAGCAATTTTCATAAATCCTCAGCTCCATACAATGGGAAAAGCTCATTTAGTTTCTGAGGTAAATTAATATTTTTTGTCTCACACTTTTTTCTATTTTCTTTTGTTTTTATAATTATCATACAGTAAAATTGACCTTTTTGTGGTGCACATTTCTATAAATTCTAAGACATATATATAACGATCACCACAATAAGATACATTTCTATCACCCTAAAAAAATTCCCACATGCTGCCTCTTTATCAAAGCCTCCCTTATGCCACCAAGCACTGGCAATCACCGATCTATTTTCTATCCCTATAGTTTTATCTTTTGAGAATGTCATATAATGGAATCAATACAGTATGAACTTTTTGAATGACTTTGTTCACTCACCATAACGCCACTGAGATTTATCCAAGTTGTTGCATGAGTCGATAGTTTCAAGAAAATGTCTACTATTTTCCTGCCAAGGGACAGGTTTCCTTGGGCACATCCTAGACTCAAAGAAATCATTAAAAAATTCAGTATCTTATTATCTTTATGTCAACTAGATTACCAGACAGAATTTTCTTTGTTAAAGGAATTTCTATTCTTTGTTTCTTAAAGTAACTAATTTTGGCTAAAAAAAAAAAAAAAAAAAAAAAAAAAAAAAAAAAAAAAAAACCTGCTCCTGGATTTCACAGGATGAAATCTGGCTTAAATGCACTAAATCACCTTGTGACTCCTTAGTTCTCATGACTTCTAAGAGCAAAAGACATTTTCCCTACTGCATTCAGCCAACTCTACAAATATTAAAATCTAGAACCTAATGTAGTGGAATAAATTCATATGAAAGCTACAGAATGCACTGAACTTTCAGCTAATGCAGAGTTCAAATAAGAATTCCCTCTTTAATGTCATAATACAAAACGTTCACATCAGTTAAGTATTGATTACAAACATCTATTTTAACAATTTTGTCCCTGGAAACTACCTTACAGCATGGTTCTTGCAAATGTTACTTCAAATTAAAGTTAAATGTTAAATATTATATATATGGAGAAAGAGAGATTCTTTTTTCAGAAAAATACCCTTCAAACTAATTTTAATGCGAAGACCACATTTTAACCAAAAAAATTATCTTCAGTTTTCCATTTATTTGGCATATATGGCAGACAAAAAAACAATCAATTTATTTTTCTAAAGACAGGTATGTTATATGTGTCATGTGTATCGTATGTTAAGTTGATTTTAATAAGTCTGTGTAAAGAAATTTATTGAGATAAGCATTTGGTGAGCATGTGTTTCTTCTTAACTGGTCACTTTCTGTTGGTAAGCGGGTATCTAACTGCAAACGACAACTTTACTATGCAAGGCACCAACCTCACTTGGGAGCTTGTTTGAAATGCAGACTTTCCTACTTACACCTATGTTGACTTGGAATCTGCATTTAACATGATCATAAGGATCTTGCACATTACAATTTGAGAAGCGCTGCCCTAAAACATCTTACGAATAAAACCGGAACACTTTCACTGCAAATGTGCTATTTACATTAGCATGACTACTGTGGAAAAAAATCCACTAAGCTTGAATTTTGAACTAGTTGAAAGCAGATTGTGATAATGTAAGACTGTTTTGAGAAATGCAAGCACTAACTATCCCTTAGCAAATATAAAGATGCCACATGTGGTCTAATGTAATATTAGACCTTCCGTCTTCTCAGGAGGCAGAGCCATTATGTTCCAACCTGAGCCTCTGAGCTACCATTACTTGTTTCTATTCTTAGCCTTCATGAATACAGGTCACTTATTGGGATTATACTATTCTAACAAAAAAAAAAATGTGTTTTCCAATGGGAACTACAACAAAAATAGATGAATTCCTTAAGAAACAAATTTTTATTCCTAAACAAATATAATCATATTTGTAAGACATAAGAATAAATGAAAAAAATTAGTAATTAGGTAAAGAGTACATTTATTTTCAAATTCTGTAGTTCCCCTCAAGATACCACTATTGACGTGGTTGCAAAGCATTATTTGCAATTGTTATGTCAAAGTCGTGTTGTGTCTAAAGAAAGACTACCTGACTCTTGTTTCCAAATTGTTCCACTTATACAATTTGTGCTTTTCCTAGTGTCAAAGGCTTTCCAGCCAGAATGATTCCATCTTGAGTGAAGGCTAAGAAAATAAGGCTGGGACTTGCTGGGCTGCATTCATAGAAAGTTAGGCATTCCTAGCCTCTAGATGTTTACTGCTAAGAGAACAGATTGATAATGTTTACTAAACAGGCCCAGACTTGGGATTGTCTTGATATCCTGATATCTTGAGAACAGAAGCATTCCTAATTTTGCTTTAAAGATAATAATATCGATCCTTGCAAAACATAAGAAAATTAATCCTTTATCACAAACCCTTGTAGCATAGCACATCTTCCCATGATCTTTATTTATCCTATATATAAACAAGCGTTGTACCTAGGGTGGACGCGTTCCTCTTCTTCCTTTTGGGAACTCCTGGCTCTGTCTATGGAGTAGCTGTTCTTTCGCCACTTTACTTTCTTAATAAATTTGCTTTTGCTTTGCACCGTGGACTGGCCCTGAATTCTTTCTTTCACGAGATCCAAGAACCCTCTCTTGGGGTCTGTATAGGGACCCCTTTCTTGTAACACTAGCAAGGAAGTCCCTTCCAGAGAGCTCTCTCTGGTTTAGCAGCACACTTATATTGGTGCAGGATGGGAACATTCCATAAAGACATATTCACATTTGTTCAAAGTCTTCTGCATCAACTACCCCCAGACTTTGATGTATTCTGCCTTTAAAATCACGCTATGTCCCAGTCACTTTTTGTTGCCTTCCCTTCCAATCCAGTTGAGGAATCCCTCCGGGAAAGTAAAATCTGTCTACTTGTGCTCTCCGTCCACCTCCTGGCATCTCCTGTCAACTATTTCCCTACTCTCTTGTTCTTTCAATAATTCCCATCCTACTGGAACTTTCTATCAACGTTTCAAATTGTTATCTAAATGTCACTTATCTGAAAACAAATAAATCGCCTTTCTTTTTCTTTTCTTTTTTTTTTTTTTTTTTGAGACGGAGTCTCGCTCTGTCGCCCAGGCCGGACTGCGGACTGCAGTGGCGCAATCTCGGCTCACTGCAAGCTCCGCTTCCCGGGTTCACGCCATTCTCCTGCCTCAGCCTCCCGAGTAGCTGGGACTACAGGCGCCCGCCACCGCGCCCGGCTAACGCCTTTCATGACTCTATTTCAAACTTTTTTTTTTTTTTTTTTGAGACGGTCGGAGTCTTGCTCAGTCACCCAGGCTAGAGTGCAGTGGTGTGATCGTGGCTCACTGCAAGCTCCGCCTCCTGGGTTCACGCCATTCTCCTGCCTCAGCCTCCGGAGTAGCTGGGACTACAGGCACCTGCCACCACGCCCGGCTAATTTTTTTTTTTTTTTTTTTTTTTTGTATTTTTAGTAGAGACGGGGTTTCACCATGTTAGTCAGGATGGTCTCAATCTCCTGACCTCGTGATCCACCCACCTCGGCCTCCCAAAGTGCTGGGATTACAGGCGTGAACCACTGCACCCAGCCGACCCTATTTCAATCTTTTTAGCTTTCACTGAATGTTTCTCTACCTGTCCGTGAATGAATGGTCTCCCTTTATTTTCCATTTGTCTTTCACATATTCCAACTTAACATTTATTTCCACAACTGACATTTATTTGATAAAGGTCCTTTGAATACATTTTAGCTCTAATATGCCTACTCTGTCTTTAATGTGTGACAATTTCACTAATGGAAATACGATCATATGTGCCCTGTAAATCTCCCAAGTTGTCTCAATTCTCCAAAGAATTACATCATGTCTGTCCACACCCACCAAACACAAAACTGAAAAGTGACCAGTTCAGCTTCAGGCTAGTGTTTTTTCATTCCACCAAAGCCACATTATATTTAATTAATGAAACTAATGCCTATAAAGTTAACAATAAAGGAATATAACACATATACCTGAATATACCTCTATTCAAAATTATTTTCCAAGAATGAATAAATGTTCACATTTTATTAGAGAAAATGAAACAATCATAATATCTGAGATTTATTTCAAAACTCTTTTTTTTACTGACACATGTTCTTGTCCACAGGCCAATGGAAACAGACATGTGTAGCATTATTTAGATGATCAACTGCATTAATTCTTCATATATTAGTCATTGACAATAGACCTACAAAGAGAGTATTTCTCATCCTTGATATAAATTACAGTTTTCATCATTGAATTTACTTACTCAACAGTTTTTAGACACATGTGCTTGTGGACTTATATGGAATTCCTGAGGTTGAACTTGCTGTGTGATAAATCTTCTAGCTTTAAATACAGAGTCTGTTTAAACAGGGTGAGTTGTAAATTATCTGACAAGGAAATGGATTTTATGTGGAAAATGCACATTTTCTCACAGGCAGGGCCCATGAAACTCATGGTTTGAATATTTTCAGACAGCAGAGCCTTTGACAAGTAAAAGAAACAAGACTATTGTAAACACTGAGCTTATTCGAAAAGCATTTTTTTAAAATTTCCAAGCTTATCAGATTATGTCTATATAAAACTAACATTTTTGTGAATTTCCAAGTATGTATTTGGCTCATTCATTGTTTCTTTTTGTCCACAGATGTACACATTTTTATAATGATTACAACAAAATAATTTAAACCATCCAGTAGGTGAAGCATTCCCCTTTTCCCAAGACAGTTGGATAAAATTGAATCAAAATTTAATTCCATGTCTGAAGGAAGTTTAACACCCTCCTCGGAAGTCTTGAAGCCTCCCAGGTATGACTGAGTAAAGCAGATTGCTCTCCACATTGTAGGTGGACCTCATATCGTTCCTTGAAGGCCTGAATGGAATGAAAGTTTGAGTAATAAATAATTGTTTCTCTATGATAGTCTTTGAACAGGATATCAGTGTCCTTCTGCCTTTGGACTCAGACTGGGACTGGAACTTACACCATCAGCTTTCCTGGTATTCAGGCCTTTGGAATTGGGGTGGACCTACATTACCAACTTCCCTGGGTCTCTAGCTTGCCAACTGCAAATTTTGGACTCCTCAGTCTCTGTAATCACATAAACCAATTTCTTACAATAAATGTACCTATGTGTCCACATATCCATCTAAGCATCTAGTGGGTTCTGGGTTTTTTTCTTTTGGAAGGTACGTGACTAATACAGATTAGTACTGAGATTAGTGTGATTTAGTACTAACAGTGGTTCTAGAGAAACAAAATTTTAAGAATAAATTTCTTGAATTTGTTCTGAAGTTTCCAGAATTGGCTTTCTAATCTGATTAGAATTAAAGATGCTAGTGGTTCTGTTTCCAGTGGTAAAGAAAGCACTCACAGTACCTGGCGTGATTTGGCAATAGAAATATGCAAAATATCACCCTTGGATAGTCCTAATCAACTACTTACAAAAAGCATGGATATGGATGACTGTGTATATGGTACTTTCAAACATTTCCGACAAGCTATTGAATATAACAGTTCAGGACTGATTGTTCCTAATGGTGCTGGACAAAGTATAGAAAGAGAAAGATGAGCTTAACGATTAAAATTCCCAGCTCAAATGCTACCTAAATGATCTGAAAGCTTCTATGTGTGCCCTGAAGGAGACATTTATCTCCTGTAATTTCAGGTCTAAGATTGCTGAAAATGAAGCCCAGAAACTCATCCTGTGACTGGCTGAATTACAATGTAAGTTTGAACTCCCAGCCTTGTAGAGTATTTATGGGGAAAGTGAGGGCATTGATTGGGAAGGAATGGAATCTGAATATTGGAGTGGGGATGTGATGTGAGGGAAGACCTGGATGAAGCTGGAAACACTGAACCACTAAGTTCTTTTCTGCTGGAAGATGTCTCCCCAGCCCCAGGGGGAGCAGCCTCTCTACCCCCATTTGAAGAGAGTAACCTCTTAGTGACTGATGAAATTTTAGTGGCCTCCCCTGAGGAAGCTGCCATCAAGAAAATGCTGAATATTCTCAGGAACCATGCCTACCATCTTTCTTTGCTTCTGGATCTAGAACTAGACTCATCTCAGCGGGCCCCTAAAGGTGAGGTATAAAGTGTGGCCCATGAGGAGGTGTGCTACACTCTACAATAATTGTTTGAGTTTTTAAAATTATACAGACAGAAACCTAGGAAACATGTGAGAATGGATATTAAGTGTGAGAGATATTGGTGGAGGAACACCAACTTACCTCAGGCTGAAATTACTTTTACTAAGCATAGATTATACAGTTAATGTGCGTCTCAGGAGTCAGAAAGGGCTCTAACACTTTCTGTGGTTGACTAAAGCCTAGACCAAAAGGTGGCCTACAGTGAGTAAGTTGGAAATGCCAGACCTGCCTTGGTTGAATGTATAGATACCCCTCTAGTTACTATAAGGTTACATCCCAATAAAGCTACCATAACTTGAAAATATTGCAAGTCAAACTGCATTTAATACACTTAACCTACCAAACATCATAGCTTAGCCTATCCTACTTTAAACATGCTCAGAACACTTACTTTATTCTATAGTTGAGCAAAATCACCTAACACAAAGCCTATTTTATACTAAAGTAATGAATAGCTGACCTAATTTATTGAATACCATACTGAAAGTGAAAAACAGAATACTTGTATGGGTACTAACCATTAATGTACACAGCTGAAAGTGCGCGGAGCCTGAAGAAAATTTGAAACATTGAACTAAAATTAATTGCTGGCTGATGGAGAGGTTATAGTGACAGGGTCATTGGTTTCTCTCTCTTCTGATGAAGCTTGAGAATGCAAAATGATACAATGGACTTTGGGGACTTGGGGGGAAAAGTGGGAGGGGGGCAAGGGATGAAAGACTACAAATATGGTACAGTGTACACTGCTTGGGTGATGTGTGCACCAACATCTCACGAATCACCACTAAGGAACTTACTCATGTAACCAAATACCACCTGTACCCCCAATAACTTATGAAAAATAAGAAAAAATTAAAACATTAAAAGTATAAAAAATAAAAACCACTGGCAACACAGCACACTCACAGTACACAGCTGAGTATTGGTCATTTACCCTTGTGATGGTGTGGGTGGCTGGGATCTGTGGCTCCCTGCAGCTGCCCAGCATTGCAACAGAGTGTTATACAGCAGATCTAACCTGGGAAAAGATCAAGATTCAAAATTCAAAGTGTGGTTTCTACTAAATGTGCATCACTTTCACACCATTGCAACAGGAACCATCTTAAAGGGGACCATCTGTAGAGGAAAGCATTCAAAGGCTTAGGGAGATCGGAATGTTAGAATAGATTTGCCATTTCAGATCTAACCACCCTCATTGGGAGAAAACAGAAGATGTACTTCTTTTCACTGCTATTGTGAGAAATCAATTTGTAAGGAGAGCCTAAGTGTCTCTGAAGAGCTTTGTGATTGCCAGACCTTACAGTGGAGAATGCAGTCACTGTTTGGAAAATCTAGACAATGGGAGTAATTGGATCCCAGGATGGCAGGAGCCAAGGGGTGGTACCAAAGTGAGAGTGGGTGTGGTTCCTGTAAGGGAGGCAGACTCAAGACAGCAATCAGAATCATCTCACTTGTGCAGATTTATGGTGTTGGTTAGTTGAGCATGATGGTTCTAGAGGTGAAATACTCTGGAAGACTACTAAATTCTTACTTTCTCTGTATACATAAGGCTGTTCTTGCATTACTATAAAGAAATAGTTGAGACTGGGTAATTTATAAGGAAAGAAGTTTAATTAGCTCATGGTTCTACAAGGAAGCATTAGCACTGACATCTGTTTCTGGGGAGGCCTCAGGATCATGGTGGAAGGCAAAGCAGGAGCTTCCATGTCACATGGTGAAAGCTGGAGCAAAAGAGAGAGAGTTAGGTGCCACACTTTTAAACAGCCAGATCTCATGAGAAGGCACCCACTGTCATGAGAACAGCACCAAGGGAATGGTGCCAAACCATTCATGAGAACTCCACCCCCATGATCCAGTCATCTTCCACCAGGCCCCACCTCCAATACTGGGGATTACAGTTCAACCTGAGATTTGGCTGGGGATATATATCCAAACTGTATCACTGGGTAAGCAGAAAATTCCTAGGTCAAGTGAATATAAGTTTAACCTAGACCAGAGTCACAACTCCTCAATCAATTCCCATATTAGAGCCAGTTTATAGCCCCAGAACCCCCTGGAGGGGAGGCCAAGTACTCTTGAGGAAGGAGCACCATACACTGCAAAAATAATTACACTGTTAAACTTCCTCACAACTTCCCCAAAAGTAAGGTACCATTTAGCAGGGTAACTATGCAACGGGGAAAAGGAAATAATCAGACCTATTAGAAACTACTGGACACTGGCCCTGAACTGACACTAATTCCAGGAGACCTAAACCCCCTCTGTGGGTCACCAGTCAAAGTAAGGACTTATGGAGATCAGGTGATTCAGGGAGTTTTATCCCATATCTGTCTCACAGTGGTCCCAGTGAGTCCCAAAATCCATCCTGTGGTTATTTCTTGTTTCCAGAATGCATGATTAGAATAGATATACTCAGAAGCTGGAAGAACCCCACATTGGTTCCTTAACTTGTGTAAGGGACAAGGGTTATTATGGTGAGATAGGCTAAATGGAAGCCGCTAGAACTGACTCTGCCTTGGAAAGTAGTAAATCAAAGTTAGTACTGCATTCCTGGAGAGGTTGCAAACATTAATGCTACCATTAAGGATTTGAAATATGCAAGGGTGGTGATTCCCACCACATCCCCCATTCAATTCACCTATTTGTACTGTGCAGAAAACAAATGAATTTTGGAGAATGACAGATTACAGTAAGCTTAACTAGATAGTAACTCCAATTGCAGCTGCTGTATCAGATGTGGTTTCATTGAATAAATTAACACATCCTCTGATATGCAGCCATTGACATGACAAATGCTTTTTTTCCTCTGTATCTGTTCATAAGTCTCATTACAAGCAATTTTCTTTCAGCAGACAAGGCCAGCAATCCATCTTCGCTATCCTGCCTCACAGATATGTCAACTTTCTAGGCCGATGTTAAAATTTAGTTGGCAGGGATCTTGATTACCTTTTACTTCCACAAGATATTACTGGTCCGTTACACTGATGGCATTACTGGTAAGACATACATGTCAGGGAGTGGTTAATAAATCCAACTAAAATGCTGGGGCCTTCTACCTCAGTACAATTTCGAGAGGTCTAGTGATGTTGGGCACATCAAGATATTCCTTTTAAGGTGATGTTGCTTCTGGTCTCTCCTACAACGAAAAAAAGAGACTCAACACTCTGTGGACCTCTTTGGATTTTGAAGGCATCATACTCCTCATTTGCGTGTGTTACTCTGACCCATCTACTGAGTGACCTAGAAAACTGCTGCTTTTGAGTGGGACCCAGAATAAGAGAAGGCTCTGTAGCAGTCCAGGCTGCTGTGCAAGCTTCTCTGCTGCTTGGGCCGTATGATCTAGCAGATCCAATGGTGCTTGAAGTGCCAGTGGCAGATAGGATGGTGTTTGGAGACTTTGACAAGCCCTATAAGTGAGTAACAGCACAGGGCCTTAGAATATTGGAGCAAAGTCCTGCCATCTCCTGTGAATAACTCCTCTCCTTTTGAGAAACAACTCTTGGCCTGCTACTAGACCTTAGTAGATACAGAACTCGTAACCCTGGGCCACCAAGTTGCCATGTGATCTGAGCTGCATGTGATGAGCTGGGTGTTATCTGATTCACCAAGCTATGAAGCTAGGCATGCAGAGGAGCACTCCAGCATTTAATGGAAGTGGTATACACATGATTAGGTCTGAGCAGGCTCTGAGGCACAAGTAAGTTACATGAAAAAGTGACCCAAAAGCCCATGGTCCCCACATCTGCTACACTGACCTTTCTCTCGCAGCCTGCACTTATGGTCCCATGGGGAGCTCCCCATTATCAGTTGACTAAAGAAGAGAAGACTTGGGCCTGGATTACAGAGGGTTTTGCATAATATTCAGGAATCATCTGAAAGTGGATAGCTGCAGCACTGTAGCCCCTCTCTGGGACATCCCTGGACAGTGGTGAAGAGAAGTTGTCCCAGTGGACTCAACTTCAAATAGTGCACCAGGTTGTTCACTTTGCTTGGAAAGAACAAATGGCATAATGTGTAAACATAATTAGAAGATTGGTGACAAGGAAACCTGGGAAAGAGGTATGTGTGGGTGGACCTCTCTGAATGAGTGACAAAACCATGGTGATATTTGTGTCCCATGTGGATGCTCACCAAAGGATGACCTCAGCAGAGAAGAATTTTAAAAATCAAGTGGATAGGATGACCCATTCTGTGGATACCTATCAGCCTCTTTCGCCAGCCACTTCTGTCATCTCCCAGTAGACTTAGGAACAAAGTATCCACAGTGGCAGGATGGAGACTTAGCCTACATGGACTCCCACTCACCAAGGCCAACCTGGCCATGGCCACTGTGACGGTCCAGTATGCTTGCAACGCAGACCAACTCTGAATCCTTGATATGCACCTGGGGTAATAAGCCAGCTACCTGGTGACAGATTGATTACATTGGGCCACTTTCATCATGGAAAGGGCAGTGTTTTATTCTTACTGGAACAGACACTCTGGATATAGAATTGCCTTCCCTACATGCAATGTTTCTACCCAAGCTACCATCCATGGGCTTACAGAATGCTTTAACCACAGTCGTTGTTTTCCATACAGCAGTGCTTCTGATCAGGGAATTCAGTTAACAGGAAAAGAAGTGCAGCAATGGGTCCATGTTCATGGAATTCATCGACTTTACTATGTTTCCTACCATCCTGAAGTAGCTGGTTTGGTAGAATGATGGAATGGCCTTTTGCAGACTCAGTTACAGTGTCAGCCAGGTGGCAGTACTGAGCTGGGGAAAGATTCCTCAGGAGTCTGCATGCTTTAAATCAGCATCGAAAATATGATGCTGTTTCTCCAAAAGGCAGAATTCACAGGTCCAGTAATCAAGGGAAGAAAGTGGGAGTGGTCTCACTCACCGTTATTCCTAGTGACCTACTAGCAAAATGTTTGCCTCTTGATCCTACAACTTTATGATCTGCTGGCCTAGAAGTCTGTTTCAAATGAAGGATTGCTTCCACCAAGAGACACAACAATGCCTTTATAGAACTGGAAATTAAAACTGTTACCCAGTGGCTTTGGATTCCTCATGCCTGTAAATCAACAGGCAAGGAAGAGAGTTACTGGGCTAGTTCTGGTTATTGATCTTAACTGGCAAGGGGAACTTGGACTCGTACTTCCAAATGGAGATAAGGAAGGGTGTGTCTGCAATATATATACCCTTAGGGTGTCCTTGGGATTATAATATTCTGTAATTATGGTCAATGGAAAATGACAACCACCTAATCCAGGCAGGACAACTAATGGCCCAGACCCTTCAGGAATGAAGCCTTGGGTCATCCCAACAAGGAAATAATCACGACCAGCTGAGGTGCTTAGTGGAAGAAGTGAGGTGCTTAGTGGAAGAAGGTAGCTATAAATACCAGCTATGACCACATGACCAGTTACAGAAATCAAGATTGAAATTGTTATCAGCATTTCCTCCTTTTTTGTTATGAATACATACAAATGTGTGTGCGTGCATTAAGCAAATATTATTGTTTTTCTGCTGTCTTATTCCCTTATAAGGGATGTATTGACTATATCATTGCATTTAAGTGTTGTTGATTTTATATTATAACATTTAAGTTGCAGGATATCAAGGAGAAAAGTAAACATCATTCGAGGATTATACCTCCTTTTCTGGGGAAGGGGTAGGTGTGTCTTCAGTGGTACATGGGATGATGATATATTAGACAGAAGCATGGCCTTGCTATTTTCTTTATTTGGAGATTAAGTATAGTTTAAGGAGATGTGTATGGATGCCAAGTTGACAAGAGGTGGACTTGCGATGAATAATTTCATGTGGAAATTTGACTATGTCATGAGGTGCCCAGATGTTTAATGAAACATTATCCCAGCTATGTCTGTGATGGTGCTTTTGGATGAAATTAACATTTGAATCAGTAGACTGAGTAAAGCGAGCTTCTCTCCCTAATGTGAGTAGTCCTTACTCCATCAGTTGAAGGCCTGAATAGAACTAAAATTACTCTGACCTTCCAGTAAGAAAGAGAAAACTCCTGCCTGACTGTTTGAACTGGGTCATGACTTTTTTCTTGTCTTCAGACTAAACTGAAATATTGGCTCTTCTTGGATTTTGAGCCTGCCAGTTTTCAGACTGGAACTTCCACCATTGACTCTCGTGGTGCTCAGGCCTTCAGACTCAGACTGGAACTCTCCCATTGGCTCTCCTGGGTCTCCCGCTTGCCAACTGCGAACTTGACTTCTCAGCCTCCAGAATTACATAAGCTAATTACCTATAGTAAGTCTTTCTCGCTCTCCCTCTGTCTCTGCTATTGGTTCTGTTTCTCAGGATATTCCAGATAGTACAGTCACCTCTGGCTGAGAATTCCAACTTCTTCACTTTATAGATTATTCTTTCTCTATGATTCAAACATCCTATCTCATAAATAAGATTTATTTTCTCCCTCAATTTTCACCAAAAAAAGACACATATACATGTAACCCATTAGTTTATTTTCAATAACCTTACAGAAGATATGGAGGTGTAACAAAAATTACTGTAAACATAAGCCTTATATTCTTTCTTTTTGTTTTGTTTTGTTTTGTTTTTTTTGAGATGGAGTTTCACTCTTGTTGCCCAGGCTGGAGTGCAGTGGCGCAATCTTGGCTCACCACAACCTCCACCTCCCGGGTTGAAGCTATTCTCCTGCCTCAGCCTCCTGAGTAGCCGGGATTACGAGCATGTGCCATTACATCTGGCTAATTTTGTATTTTTAGTAGAGATGGGTTTCTCCACGTTGGTCAGGCTGGTCTCGAACTCCCGACCTCAGGTGATCCACCCGCCTTGGCCTCCCAAAGTGCCGGGATTACAGGTGTGAGCCACTGCACCCAGGCCAAGCCTTATATTCTTTAAAAGTTAATTCCCCACTGCTTGGCCAGCTAATTCCCTCTGAGCTTCTCTAGCATGATCCTGGCTCTCCTTCCTGCATCTCCCTCCTTCCCGCATCTCCCTCCTTCCCCTCCCTTCTCTTCTGTCTTTTCTCTTCTCCGGAGCAAAAACTAAATTGGTCTCCTTTTCTCACACAAGATAGTTTTGGTGCCCCCTTTGCTGCTTTAACTCCTGCCAATGGGCATAACTTTGAAGTTTCAATTTTATCCCAAGCAGCTCATCAAACTAGTACTTCAACATTAGGAATTCTTCTGTAATAGGAATTCTAGTGCCAGCTATTCAAGTTATAAACATCTCAATCTCTGTCACAATCAAAATAACTGCCATTGACTGAGAACTCATGCTCCAATCACTGTTATGATGTGCTTCACTGACATTCTCTCATGTTCTTACAGAAACACCACATAGTCATGCTTTTTCTAACTGCGGCAGATGCTGCTGTGTTTCTAATCAATATCCATTTTCTTCTTCTTTTAAATTAAAGGGTGCTGCTCCATTCAGTCCCACTTTACTAGGCCTCTGCATTGCACCCCCGCATACTATTGTTGGTAGCTAAGGGCTCACAAGTGCCCTGTTCTCTCCTGAGCACTTCTTCAGACTTAAGGGAGCTGCCTCGCCTGGACAACCTGTAGCCAGTGACTGACTGACACATGGTATAAAGGGCTATTCCTCTAGCCTCAACGTCAGGCCAACTCTGTAATGCAATCCATGCTCCAAAACTCTGGGTGTCAGGCTGAGCCAGTCTTGTGCTGAGATCATCCTGGCTTAGGTAGATCTCATCTTTGTCTCACCCTACTTACTATTCCCCTCTCATAAGGTTATTCTCTCAAGAAAAGTTGCTCAATAATTGCTATTGCAGGCTCTGCTTCTAGAGAGCCCTACCTGACAGATTGACTGCGCTGCAGAAAAAGCAATGAAGGCCATTAACAGAAGGAAACCAATTAGGGTATCACTGGAGCCTGGGTGAGTGGCGACCTAACAAGAGCTCACTCCAAAATGGTAGCAGTGGACACAGACAGGAGTTGGATCAACCAGTTCATTTGTTTTCCATAATCATATTTTATTTTCCTTGTAGCAATTATCACTCTCTGCTATTATAGCATTTTGTGTCTTTTAAAGTTTCTTTGTTTTTTGTTTTTGAGATGGAGTCTTGCTGTGTTGACTAGGCTGGAGTGCAGTGGCATGATCTCCACTCACTGCAACCTCTGCCTCCCAGGTTCAAGTGAGTCTCCTGCCTCAGCCTCCCAAGTAGCTGGGATTACAGGCACGTGCCACCACACCCAGCTAATTTTTTTAGGGGCGGGTATGTCTAGTCCAGACAGGGTTTCACCATTTTGCCCAGGCTGGTCTCAAACTCCTGACCTCAAGCAATCCACCCACTTCTCCCTCCCAAAGTGTTAGGATTACAGGCATGAGTCACCACGCCTGGTCTCCTTTAAAGTATTTTTAAATATTTACCTTGTTAAAAGTTTTTATCTTCCTTTAAAGAGATATAAGAATGAGGGCCTTTCTTAGGTACTATCATATTCTTTCTGCCCCTAAAACAGTGCTGGCAGACAATTCATGCAAAATACGTATTTGTAAATAAGTGAATGAAAAATGAATGGAAGAAAAGTGATTGAGATTAGCTTGAGGCCTATGTGGGATTGAGGGAGCTGATTAGGTTATAAGTTGAGAGAGATCTAGAAATATCAAAAGAACTCTGGAGAATGATCTGTTTGGTATAATAAATTATATACTGGGAACTCAGGAGAGATACTATAAGGCCTAAGACGGTATTTGGGTGACTAAGCCCTTCACTTTAAAAGCTCAGTGTAGTACTTTATGCAAAACCTTGAAACTTACCGTATTTCTTTTTGGCATTTTGGGTGATGCTTAAGAATGTTAAATAATGAAAGACTCTTTGTGTTACCTGTACTGTGTGTGTATTAGAATTGTAACCTATTTCAGTTTTCGTCTCATCACCAACAAGCTTTTCAAAGTAGTAGAAACTACTTTTTCAGAAGGTGAAGTAATGCTGTTTTGTCCAGTGGGTGATTACTTGCTGTGAATACTTAGTGATCATCAGGCTTGGAAACATGCGTAGGTGTGTATAATAAATGAGACCGCTACTACCTGTTAATTGTACTTTATAATTGCAGTTTATCTCCTCTGTACACCTGCAGAGTCCTGGCTCATATCACAGAGAAAAGGTCGTTACTGTGGCTTGACTGAGAGAGCTCATTTATTAAAGCTCTAAGGGGTTGTATTATCAACTTCATCTCATGTCTTTCTACATTATCTAATATTCTCCATTCAGATGTACACAAAAAATATCCATCTTTTAATGCGTAACTGATGTACATATATGCTGTTATCGTTATTGTTAAAGAACTTTAGTTATTTAAAGTTAGTAAATTAAAGTTATTGTTATGGTTATGCTGTTAAGTTATTGATGGTTAAATCAATAACTTTTAGGCAACAAATTGGTTGATCGCTTATTGTTGATTTTAGGCAGTTGCCAAGCAATATTAATGTCCTAACATTAAGATTAATGGAG
This sequence comes from Homo sapiens, assembly GCF_000001405.40. Classification (NCBI taxonomy): domain Eukaryota; kingdom Metazoa; phylum Chordata; class Mammalia; order Primates; family Hominidae; genus Homo; species Homo sapiens. The sequence continues at coordinate 66,659,531 of NC_000009.12, read as the reverse complement.
TGTATCATTCATTGACTTGATCATTTCCCTCCCATTTCTATTGCCCTGTCCCTTGGGGTGCTGGCATTGGGTTCGTATGTGTGCAATCGAATCTTTTCCGTGGCAGATGCTGAGGAGCAAGTCCTGACAGTGAATAGCCATGTGTTTAGTCAGCTGTTTACACAGGCTCAAGGAAATGAGAATTTTATGGAAAGTTGATAAGACATCTCACTACTTTCAAATTCATTTTAGAAAAGTATAGTATGAGAAGAAGAGCTTCGACAAATATTGTGTCTAAAAAGCTAAAAACATCCTGATCTTCGTAACCGAGTGGCTAACAAATAAACTAAAGAAACTCACACAACGCTCAGTTAAAGGAGTCAAAATAAACTGTCATAGAATACACATCATGATGAGGTCTTATTTAGCAATATTATATTCCCTTTAACTGCATTTGTAATGTGGACTTAAATGGGAGAATACTGCATTCCTTTGCCTTTTCCTCTCTCTGAAGGTTTTGAGAGAAGAAACAGAAGAAGTTGTAGAAAATCAACTCTGCTTCCTTTTACTAATTGTGAATATAAGCTCACCGTACTCTGGAGTGAAAATAAAAACAATGTTTTAGTTGATTGTATCTACCAATGCCATCTACTCCACATTCTTGCTTTAATTGGTAGCTTATTTTAAGAAAACACTATGACTTCTTTGTAGAAAATGTACTTTAAGATCCCAGAAGCATTTAATTCCTCAGGAAAACTTATCAGGATGTCATATAATGATTAAAAAGACGTTCAAAATCAGTAATTTTCATCAGCTGATCTGCTTTCTTGGTATTTTATACTGTAATACCCTTTACTATATGTGATCTCTGAATAGATAAGTCAGCTTTCAATGCTCACAGTTTTTAACATAGAGTATTTTTTTTAAACTTTGAGTATTGTATAGATTAGGGACAGTGACTTTCACTGAATGAAACTATACTTACTTCTGGTATAAAGAGAATATATACTCATCTACACATGCTCCACTTTGCACTACAGCTGAAGGACTCTGAAAGCACACCGCTCTGGGTTTTAGCTCCAGGGCATCCCGTGGGTGGGTCACTGAGCAAAAGCATTATAGGACATCCCGTTCTACAAGGAATGAGGACAAAGCCCAGGCTTTTCTAGAAAGTTCCTCTATATATCAAGATACTGCATTCTTAGCACATTCTACAGTTATTCTAAAACTGTAAGCCAGGAAATGGGGAAGGGGAGAAGAAAGCTGGGTCCGCTGAGGCCATCTAGGGGCCAGTCCTCCTCCAGAGGCCGTTAAATTGGTCCAGGAAAGAGAAAAATATGGCTTTGATCAGGGTGGTGACAATGGAGTTCTTAATCAGTGGTAGGGTTTTTGATAGGTTTTGTAAGTGTGATAGAACCAATAAGATTTCTTTCTAGACTGGATGTAGAGTGTGAGAGAAGAAGAGTGGTGATCCCAAAGTCATTAGCTTGGGCACCAGATGGAATTGCCATCAACGGAGATTAAGGAGGAATGATTTGTCCCTTAAATTGCACAGTTGTAGCAATAGATGAGTTTACTAGGAAATAAAACATGTGTTTGCAAAGGACTGGTCTATTTCCTTAAGAAAACAGAAACTAGGCCGGGCGCGGTGGCTCACGCCTGTAATCCCAGCACTTTGGGAGGCCGAGGCGGGTGGATCACGAGGTCAGGAGATCGAGACCATCCTGGCTAACACGGTGAAACCCTGTCTCTACTAAAAATACAAAAAATTAGCTGGGCGTCGTGGCAGGCGCCTGTAGTCCCAGCTACTCGGGAGGCTGAGGCAGGAGAATGGCATGAAACCGGGAGGCAGAGTTTGCAGTGAGCCAAGATCGCGCCACTGCACTCCAGCCTGGGTGAGACAACGAAACTCCGTCTCAAAAAAAAAAAAAAAAAAAAAAGAAGACAGAAACTAAAATATTAGTGCTCATTTTATGCCTGTCTTTGTCAAAACACTAGGACATTAAATAACATGTAGGGCAATACAAACCAAAAATGTAATAAGCATGCAATGCCCATATCCTCCACCCCAGTAAAATAATTCATGTATTCAGCTTGCATCCAAATTATTTATTATTATTATTCTGCCAAAGTGTTTCACACAGGTTGCCATTTTAAATTTTGTTTTTGATGAAATGTCTGTTGAAATGCTCCTTTGGAGAAATGACTGTACTTTCTCTTGATTCCTTGACTAAATTTTCACAGAATCGTTTGATCGGAAACTATATAGAAATGTGTTCACTATTATCCATTAGAGTTTATTAAGCAATGAAAGAAATGAAGGCATAAGGATAAAACGTCTGCTCAAATTTCTGAGCAGTCACTTTCTCATTAGAGCTCTTGTATTTGGGGACTCCAATGTGGAAATACCGTGAGAATTTAAAGAACAAATAGTACATCTTCCTCCCTTAGAAGGTATCAGAATTTTTAATTTTTATATTATATTGTATTATATTATATTATATTATTATTATATTGTATTATATTATATTATATTATATTATTGTATTATATTATATTATATTATATTATATTATTTTATATTATATTATATTTTAAGACGGACTCTAGTTCTGTCACCCAGGCTGGAGTGCAGTGGCGCCATCTGGGCTCACTGCAAGCTCCGCCTCCCAGGTTCACGCCATTCTCCTGCCTCAGCCTCCCATGTAGCTGGGACTACAGGCGCCCGCCACCACGCCCGGCTAAATTTTTTTGTATTTTTAGTAGAGACGGGGTTTCACCGTGTTAGCCAGGATGGTCTCGATCTCTTGACCTCGTGATCTGCCCGTCTCAGCCTCCCAAAGTGCTGGGATTACAGCTGTGAGCCATTGCGCCCAGCCCAGAAATTTTTTTTAATGGTGAATCTTAAATGGTGAATTTAGATAATAACCTAAGATAATTTTGTAGAAATGCAAAATTTGCAAAATAATTTCTGATCATAAAAGGAGGATAGGTGAAAGCTTATCCCAGGTGGTGTCTGACCTGCTCTTGTATGTCTGGATTTTCACACTAGAGTGCAATGATGTGGCATATCCACTCTGATTTTTGCAAGTTTAAGAAGTTACTTTAGACATATTGTAATGTTTCTTGCAGCATATTTCACTCCCATAAATGGGGTAACAACAGTCCATATTAAAGTTAGTAATATATTACAATTAAAGTGTCTAATTCTCAGATCCTTTGTAACACATGGGCTACAATAAATCACATACAAAAAAAGTCTTAAATTATTAGAATCTATTATGTAAAAAGTGACTAAGAGAATCATGCTAGTTTTCAATTTATTGCCTCTGATCTCCAAATGCAGTCTTCAATACATGTTCTGTACTAATGGACATCTTTAAGCATTTCTGCTTACCAGTAAGGATACCAGTAAGCAGAAAGAAGGCTGTTCTGCTCTTTCCAGCTGCTGCATGGTGTGCCAGCAGTGTGGGTATGAGAACATCTGGTGTCATTCTGCCCCAGTGACATGTTCAAAATACACCACCCCTCAGTCCTAGCCTGTCCTAGTGACCACCTTCATGCAGCCCTCTTGAGAGAGACGCTATGTGGTCCAGGTCTCTTGCCCACACTGCCACCCTGATTCCCTCTGCCTGCTTGTCCCTACCTTCCAGACTTGTCTTGTGAGGTCCCCCTGATGCAGCGGCCCTCCTCTCAGGGTTACCATATGCTCTAAGCTTTGTGCTGCACTGGCATTGCAGGGAAGTTTACATTTTCCCACTGAAGTTTTGATAATGTAAGCCTATGAAACAAACTGAAAATAGGCAGATTAACAGAAGAAAAGGCATACAAATTTATTAACATGCATATGGGCTTAGGTATCACATACAAAGTATTAATAAACTCAGAGCGAAGGTCAGATGGTTGAAGTTTGTATGCCATCTCGAGGCTACAGAAAGAATGGCAGCTCAGAGCATGGCCAAAACCAGGTTATGGTGGTGAATCAAGTTATGGTGGTGGGACATGTTATGGGAGGGAGAGAAGAGGAGGCCTAGCAGCAAAGCTGGTCTTGTTATGTAGCTGAAACCTCACAGGTAGCAGCCATCACAGAAAATAGATGGTAAATGTTTCTTTGAGAAGTTTAAAGGTGTCAGACTAGACTCAGATGAGGAAGGGCCCCAGAGAAACCTGGCTGTATCAAGGCAGATTCTCTATGGATGCAAACCTCCCTCCTGAGGAAAGACAGCTTTTCAGGGCTACTTCTATTTGCAGACCCTCTGAACAGCCATCTCAAAAGATGTCAAAGAAGGATATTTGGGGGTGAAATGTTTTGATTTTCTTCACAGGCATACATTTTACATGGCAGAATCATAATAAAGTATAATTAAATAAAACTAAAGTACAAGTATAATTAAAGTGAATACCTAGTCCTATAACAGATACATTCCACAAAAATGTAATGATTAACACCAGGGGCAGTTATATTTCAAGCTCATGCTTCTCAGCTTGTCTGTTCTTGTAGCAGTGTAGGTCAAATCAGAAGATAAAAACCATAGAGTGATTTCAACAGAAATTTAATATAAAGAATTATACCATGATAAAAGATTAACTATAGGATATAAGTGAACTCTCTAAGTTAATCTAGAGCTGAGGGAAGATACTCAAGGAAGAACGAACTTGGAAAGAGAAGCCCTTCCCCAAAGCTGTAGTTAAGACTTTATTGGAGAAGGTGTTTTATCCTACTGAATTACAGAGAAGTCTATCTGTTTACCTGGGTCAGAGCGGGCCTGCAGTCACAGGTGTAGCCGAGCTATGGACTGAATTGCAGCCCATCCCAATTCATAGGTTAAATCCCTAGCTGCCAATTTGGCTACATTGGAGATACAGTCAAATTGTAGGTTAGGGATTTAACCTATGAATTCGGACGAGCCGCAATTCAGTCCATAGCTCAGCTTCACCTGTGACTGCGGACCAGGTTAAGCCAAGCTATGGACTGAATTGCTATGACCTGAATTCATTTAGACTACATTTGGAAGTAATTAAAGTGACATTAGGTAATTAAAGTTACACCCCATCAGATTAGGTTGGGCCCCTAATCTGATAGGATTGGTGGCTTTTTATGAAGCCTATAAAACAAACTGATTATAGGCAGATTTTTTAAAGGCATATCCATTTATTAATGTGCATATGGATTTGGGACTCATATGCAAAGTATGAGGCTCAAAGCAGGGGTCAGATGGTTGAAGTTCTCTCTCCCTCTCTCTCTCTTTCTCTCTCCTTATACATACAGTTAAAGAAGGCCATGTGAGAACACAGCTAGAAGGTGACCATCTACAAGCCAGGAAGAGATCCCTCACCAGAAACCAACTGGCCAAAACAACATAACTTTGGACTTCCCAGCCTGCTGAACCGTGAGAAAATAAATTTCTGTGGTTTAGGCCACCTAGTCTATGGTACTTTGTTATGGCAGTTCAAGGAAACATATACAAGCAGGAAATAACTCTCTGGAATGAGGATGGGGTGCAGGTAAGCAATAGCGAGTGGCTGGGTGCCTGATATACAAAAGGAGTAAAGGTATACAAACCTTTCCTTTGCTAAAGGAAATCAAAAATATTTCACCCCAAAACATAGTTCTTTGATGTGTCTTGAGGTGGCTATTCAGAGGGCCAGCAGACAGGAATAGTGCAGAAAAGCTGACTTTCGTGGAGTAGATTTGCATCTGTGCAGAAAATCTATATAGGTGAAATAAACAGCCAGGCTTTCTCTGAGATTCCCCTTCTGCAGCATGGTATACAGGCTTCTGAACCCCACTAAGGTATTGACAATCACTCTGTGATTCTCTTTGTGCACACTAATAAATTTGCATGCCATTTCTCCTGTTAATTTACCTTTTTTGAGTTGATTTTTCAGCAAACCTTCAGAGGGCGAAGGGGAAGCTTTTCATTGGCCTCTACACCTGGTTTCCACTTGATTAATTGGCCTCCTGAAACTGCCCAGCTGTTCGAAATGATTTATGCATCTATGTGGCATGGATCACTTCACTATGTCCAGTACTAACCTAAGCAATGCAGGCTCTTGCCCATTCGAGATGAGACTCTAATAAAGCATGAACATTGTCTAAGCCACCTAAAACTTTCATAGAGAAGATAGTCGTTGATTTCACATATTGGTTCACAGAAAAAAAGAATGGGACCATTATGTATAATTAACCTTACCATTATTATCATCTGAGAAGTCTTTTTCTATATTTTAAAGTAAATGTCAATTTAGATAGTGAGAACTATAAACTACATTAAGTTGAAATGAAAATGCTGACCATATGTTAATAACTTCATGTTAAGGAAATATATGCACTCGCTGAGAAAGTCTACCATTTTATGATATCATGAGCAATTAAATATTTTGAATTATTTTTCATTTTATATATATACTATTTGCATTTTTTGGTTTGCTTATAATATTCTCTTTATATACAACCCCCAAAATAAAAATAATTTGGAAAGACATGAAGAAGATGCTACCTACCACCAAGAAACTACCACCAAGATATCAAAGATAAACAGAACCAATATTTTGCTGAGCAGCCTTCCATGTATTTACATGTCCATACACATGGACTTAGGACTAAATAAATTGTCACTAGTGGAATCACACTGAATCCTTGCTAGATCATGCTAGGCCATGAGTGAAGGACTTATATATTGAGAAATAAAGAGAATCCTAAGCCCCCCACTTGACTGAACAGACTTCCTCTTGGTCAAAGGGACCAGAGGTTTTTAAGGTTTCTCTAGAGAATGGCTAACGACCATTAGGCTTTCTTCCCTAAGGGTGAAGGCAGAAACCAGCCCTTTCAAAAGTCTTGCCCAGTGATTTCAGCCAACTGCCTGACACTTGTCCTCCCTCTTGCAGCTTTAACACAGAAACTGACCAGCATTCCTTCCCAATAAGAGACCACCCACCACAGCATGGCTCTGGCTGGTCTACAAAGGCTGTGTACTAAGTGCCTTCGTATCCTCCACTTCACCTTTTGATGTACAAGGCCTAACTGAAATACACTTAAATGCTATGTCTCCACCCCAAAGTGAACATGGGACACATGTTACATACATGTTAGCCTTTCTTATTCCTCCCTCCCTGGAAGCACTTATTTTCTGCTCAGTTCAGAGGTTCAGAGTTTCTGCGTCCTGCCTGCGGGTTGTGGTAACCTGCTTTAGAAATATAGCCCTCTTCCCAAATATATGAACCATGATTCTTCAAGTGGACAGAATGATTTATGGACTTCCATAAACATGTGCATGGTGGGCTCACAGTACACATTTCTGGAATCACTGAGTAAATGCTATCGACAAACTGTATTTTTTCAGGTTAATATTATGTCATGGAGACATCCCAATTCATCAAGGTGGCTGGCTAAGATAACTTAACAACAACACCCAACTTTTGTAATTAGAAACACCTAGAGACACTAGAAAATACGTAACAATTCTCCTTTCCATTCTCTGTATTTAGAGTTGGGTGTTGATAGCATTGCAGATATCAGAGACAAAGCCTTTGACCTTTGTGATATAATGAATGGGAATACAGATGCCTGCACCCAGCCAGCACATAGAAAATAGGGCACATTCAAACAGTAGACTGATTTTTTTAAAGAGAGAAAGGATAGGGAACTTTGCTATTCTCTAGGTGAAAACAGAAATTTCTCCTTAGAAATAAAGCACTATACTTATTCCTTGCAGGTATTTAGAGACTAAATATACATAATCAGCTTTGTAAGTACTTAAAATGCTTAAAATAATACATTATTATAAAGTAAGAAGTAATAATAAAATTCACCTTTATGCATATAAAAAGCCTCAATACATATGATGTAAAAGTTGACAAAATCATGATAAGTGAACAGATATTCCAGAGAGACAGTTTAAAATACCTCACTCACTGTGGGGAGGGGACAAGTTATTTAATGGATGTAGTTTCTGTTTCACAAGATGAAAAACTTGTGGAGACTGGTTGTGTTCTGAATGCGAATACACTTAACACTACTGAATTGTATTTAAAAATGGTTAAAATTGTCATTTTATGTTGTATTTTGCCACAATTAAATAATACTTCCCTCAGATACTGGTTGAGCAATAAACCAAAAACAAAATCTCAAAATAAGGATATTTGAAAACACTATTTATGAAAATTTTATGAAAAGGGTATTAACAGACCATAATACTCAAAAATGACAAAAAATGCTTTCCTTTCAAGTTGATATGAAACACTTATAAAAATTGCAGTGTACTAGGCCACAGCAAGTATCAATAAATAATAATCATCGGGCCAGGCGCAGTGGCTCACGCCTGTAATCCCAGAACTTTGGGAGGGCTAGGTGGTCAGAACACGAGGTCAGGAAATCGAGACCATCCTGGCCAACATGGTGAAACCCTGTCTCTACTAAAAATACAAAAATTAGCTGGGTGTGGTGACACGTGCCTGCAATCCCAGCTACTCAGGAGGCTGAGGCAGGAGAATTGCTTGAACCCAGGAGGCAGAGGTTGCAGTGAGCTGAGATGGTGCCATTGCACTCCAGCCTGGCAATAGAGTGAGACTCCATCTCAAAAAAAAAAAGTAATAATAATAATTAATATGATCATATTCTTAGACCACAATTTGACAACATAGATTTTGTTAACCAGAAGATCACAATATACTATACTTTGTGAAATTTAAAAATACATTTGAAATAAGAAAATGAAGTTATGTTTAGAACAGAATGGCAATAAAAACACTACATATCAAAGCTTGTATATGTTTGGTGCAACTAAAGCATTCTTTAGAAGGTGGTTTGTATTTGTAAATATATTTATTAGTAAAGAGAAAGCCTAAAAAAATATCAGTGGGGTAGGTAACTCCATCAGAAGGGAGACTCCATACATAAGACTACTTACATGACTACAGAGTTATATAAGAAAGACAAACAGCTCAAAATGTAGAAATAGCCAAATTATAAGGGAACCCAGTGCATGAGATGTTCTGCTTCAGGTCCATTGGGAAAGAATGGGCAACTCTAAATATTAATGGTACTGGGACATTAGTTACAGATGAGAAAAAATATAAAATTGGACCCCTACCTGTCACTGGACACAAAAAAACAAATGTAAGTTCTAATGAGTTAAAATAAAAAATAAAAAACTTTAAAATTCAGAAAATATGAAGAAATAGTTTATACCTTCCAGTGGACAAGGATTTCATACCCAAAACAAAAAACTATGAAGTAAAACATTGGTTCATTTTACAACAATAATATTAACATTTTAGTTTATCAAAAGACTTTATAAAAAGGGAATAGAAGCCATTAGCGGAAAGAAGATGATTTGCAACACCTATGAAAAAGGAGTAGTGTTTATGGAATATGAAGAATTCATACAAATCAGAAGAGAAACGAATACAAAACTGGACAAAGGAAACATATAACCTGGCATTTCATAAACAAAGAAAATCATATTACTTATAAACTTAACAAAGATGCTCCACCTCCACATGTGGAAGTCAAGAACAACTGAAGTTCAGCAGAACACCCTGAAGTCAAGATTTTGTCGTGTGTATGTGTGTGTGAGAATGTGTGTATATTTTTTATGTTCTGAGTCTGCATATTTTATTGTATACTTTATGGACATTTTCCCATGTCATTAAGTTAAGAGAAAAGCATTGATGACTCATTCAACATATATTTAGCGAGTTGTTACCATGTGCAGTATAGTTTTCTAATTACTGGAGCTAGATGAATGAACGAAATAAAAACAAAAATCTCTGCCTTCATGAAGATTCTATTCTGGGAAAGGCAGACCATAAACAAGAAAAATATAGTATATTAGACAGTGATGAGTGTTAAGAAGCAAAGTAAAATAGAAGGCTAAAAAGCATTGGTCGGGGGAGTGAAAATTTTGAAGTTCAATATGTGAGTAAAGTTCTAACTGAATCAATCAGCCATACATAGGAATATTGTACAATTCAATCATCTCTCCATGGTTCAATATTTAGGTATTTCTATACTTTGACATTGTAATAAAAGAAAGTGAAAACACTGTCACATGTCTTTGCCAGTGTCTCCAATTATTACCTTAGAAAGGTTTCTTTTTTTTTTTAATCTTTTTAATTTTTTTCTTAAGACAGTCTTACTCTTGTCGACCAGTCTGTAATGCAGTGGCATGATCTGAAGGAAGTTGCCAATGACAATAAGACAGTTCACTCAAATGTTACCTCTAGAGGCAGACAGTAATTCCTGCCACAAATATATTTTAAAATCCTAAATTTATTGTTAAAGATCTGGTAATGGTTAGTACAGTAACAGAGATGGAAGGGGAAAGAAACATATCAATGAGATGTTTTTCTATAAACAATATAGACAAAGAGAATCAAATGTTCTGTTACATTAGACATCACAGCCACTCATGTAATCTCAATGTATGGTTCTATACGGAAAGAGCAGCTGATTTCGGAAAACACATCCCCCCAAAAAGCTGTCTAAAGCAGTAGAAAGGAAATCTTTGAGCCACCAAGTTGTAAACTGAAGAGCTCCCCAAAGGCTCATGACATACGATACTGTATCTGGTCCTAAGTCCAGCAGCTTGCCACCTAAAAGCCAGAGTCAAGACATGGATGGGTGGAAGGAAAAAATGGTTTTAATCAAGGTGTGAGAGCGGCAGGAAGGAAGATAAAGAGAGTGGATGACTGAAGTATATTTTTAAAACTGAGGTCCTTAGTTACAATACCGTTGAGAGTGTGGGGGAATAAGGCTGGAGGGATGACCAGCTTCAAAGGAGGCTGCTCACAGGGTTTCCTATGTGAGCGCTGCAATCTGCAGTTATGTAACTTGGAGGATTAAGTGGGGCTGGAAACAGGAGGATTTATTGAATGTCTGTTTTAGTGTTTTAGGAGTGGTTGAAGACGGCCCCACATGTCCATTTCTGTATAAAGGACAAAATGTTCATTTTCCATAGAGGATAAAACAGAGAGTCTCTGGACTGGAGACCACGGAGACCAATTGAGGAAACGGTACAATATTGAAAACAAAGTACACACTGAAAATTGAGATTCGCAGCTTTTCTCATTTCTAGCTTTTAGGATGCTGACAACAGGGCTTCCTTCCTCCAAAAAGAGAAATAAATAAATCAATAAATATTCATCTGTGGGGATTAGACCAGGTCAGTAAAGGTAAGCCAAAAAATCCTGACATTGGTCTGGCACAGGGGCTCACGCCTATAATCCCAGCACTTTGGGAGGCTGAAGCGGGCGGATCACGAGGTCAAGAAATCGAGACCATCCTGGCCAACATGGTGAAACCCCGTCTCTACTAAAAATACAATAATTAGTTGGGCATAGTGGCACGTGCCTGTAGTCCTAGCTACTCGGGAGGCTGAGGCAGGAGAATCACTTGAACCCGGGAGGTGAAGGTTGCAGTGAGCCGAGATCGCGCCACTGCACTCCAGCCTGGTGACTGAGCGAGACTCTGTTTCAAAAAAAAAAAAAATCCTGACATTAGGCATTTCCCCCAAAAATAGATCTAAGAGCAAAATAATGGTCCTAGTGGTGAGTTTCCAACACTAAATAACTAGAGGGATTTCAGGGCAAGCATGTGGGGCTTTGACTAGTAAGTAAAGACTAGTAAGTAAACCCTGGATTTAAATCACAATGTGAGTTCTGGAGATCTCACAGTGTGAGTTCTGGAGAGCTCTGAGCAGTGGAGAGATGGAAGAGGCTTCATGGGAGACTCATCCAGCCAGGAAAGAGAACTTTAGAAGGTTGAGCCTGAAAGCAGGGAGCTCACTGCGGAGGTGAGAGGGGTTGGGGGTCGGGGGGGCAGGGGGGAGGGAGGGGAGGTTGGCATTCAGTCCACAGGGCTCCTGGGTTTTTCTGAACCTAGAGACTTCCTAAAATATTTAGTATTCCTGAGATTAATGTCTATTACCTATTTTCTGAATGGCATGCTTTGTAGTTCTTCTTATAGGAAAGTTCTTGTTCATTATAAGACAATTACGAACTTCCTGAAACTCTAAAGAAAGCTGAATGTAGCAAAGTAAGCTCACGGCTGAAAATACTCTTCCATTTTCAACAACCTTGTTACAAAACTCGGCAAAGAGAAGACTCTTAGTGAACACACAAAGGGGACCTGAATCAGGAGAAGCTCAGGCTCTCCCAGGAGCTCCCCTAAAGGGTTTAGGTGCGTCTCAGAGGAGCTTCCACAAAATGGAGTTCTCCTGGAAACAATCACTGACTAGTTGTTTTCTCTTAAAATATCAATTTCCTAACAGTAAGAGAAAAATTAAAACACATTTAAATTATATAGAGTTTATTTGAGCATTTGGAGATTCTTTTTGTTTTCTTTTCTCTTTTCTTTTCTTTTTTTCTTTCTTTTGAAACAGAGTTTCCCTCTTGTTTTGCAGGCTGGATTGCAATGGGTCCATCTCGGCTCACTGCAACTTCTGCCTCCTGGGTTCAAGCAATTCTCCTGCCTCAGCCTCCCGAGTAGCTGGGATTACAGGTGCCTGCCACCACGCCAGGCTAATTTTTGTATTTTTCGTAGAGATGGGGGTTCACCATATTGAACAGGCTGATCTCGAACTCCTGACCTCAGGTGATCCACCCGCCTCAGACTCCCAAAGTGCTGGGAATATAGGTGTGAGCCACCACACCCAGCCCATTTGCTCTAGCAGATTATTCTCTACTCATGTAAGGGTGGAAAGTATATGTCGTTTGTTTACTGTGACTCTTCCAGTTTCTTTTTTACAGAGAACCCACAAAGCTAGAAGATGGCTACTAGATGAATTATGTGGGCTCTCCAGAGTTGCAAGTAACTATACCATAAGAAATTGAAATTCATGCTTTTCATTTAAATTGTCAAATTTCTTGCCTTAAAGTTGTTCAGCATACATATTATTATAATCCTTGTAGTATCTCTAGGGTCTATAATAATGTCCCATTTTATATTCTTGATATTGGTGATGTTTTCCTTTTGCTAGGTGTTTTGCAGTTTTTAATAATCTTTTCAAAGCATCAGCTTTTGGCAGCACAGATTTTATTATTGGTCTGTGTTCCATTTCATTGGTTTTCATTTTATTTTTAATTTTTTCTATTTACTTTTGATGCTTAATACTTTATTTTCAAATAGTTAAAATTTTATAAAAATCAAAGGTGCATATAAGGCTTTGACTTTAACAAATTAAAGCAAAATGAGATTTTTACAACTTCTTCAATGTTAATTTAGTAATAAAATGTTTTTTATTAGCCAAAATATTTCTGCTTTTTCCAAGATGAATGATTTCCCAATGAAGGAGCTTTGATTCTAAGAAATTGTTCTTGTCTCTTCTTGACTAAGATTTTTAAATGATGAAATGAAGCACCATTCTTTAAATGTCTCATGTAATATTTACTATAGACTGCTGATAATCTTTTAAAGCAGCTAAGGATGTTAAAATGTTGCCTTTGAGGTAACCAGCCATTTTACAGGAAATATGATACTATTTGGTGTTTTAAAGATGTTAAAATTAATTTCAGTCCTTGAAAATATGTATATAGATACGTATATAATTTACATGAGAAAATAGCCTTGGTATTTCAAGAGGAAATAAAAATTGTTGTGCCAAACTGTGCTGGGTTTATTATCTATATTCGAATTATGAATTCATATTATTAAGGTCTTTTAATTCAAGAGATGAAGAAATAGTTTAAATATTTCACTCCAAGTGAATGGTCTGTCTCTTAGATGATTAAAGAAACAGAATAGTTCTTCTCTACTTTTTGTCATAGTGACTAATACTAGCAAAGCACTTCAGTCCTTCTCTAGGAAAATCACCTTGTTTTTCTACATGATTTGTCTCTCAGTTACGCACATGTTCTATTTCCTGGGCAGGGGTGGAAGGGGAGTTGCTCTGTAGAATCTCTGGTCTCACGGCAGACCCTGTGAGCAAGAAATAAACTTAGAGGAGGCCAGCCACTGAGACTTGGAGGGTTTATTTGCCATTACTGCACAGCCCATCTTATCCTGGAAAATGTACCACATGAACACAAACATAAAAAACAAGACATTTTGTATTTTAAAAATATAACTCAAATTAAAAACAACAAGCTTTTATAACCTGATGTTAGCATAATCATTTGCAAATATTACTGGATATTGTGCCAGTGGCTGTAGTTGGGATGAGGGTCACAGCTGTGCCGCAGAAATATGACCTGGATCGTGGGTCGGGAGAAATCTTTGGCCCTAAGTCTCTTGGCCATCAGAGGCAACTGCAAAATCAAAGTGCACCAAATACTCCCATTCTTGCTGCACTTTGTGATGAGCTATAGAAATTCAGAAAATGCCAGCCACCCAGGATGTTGGTTGGACCTTTGCCTTCAGAAGGTTTGCCCATCTGGGTCATCATAGAGGAGATGGTGGCTGGACCAAGGCTCTGATAATCTGCTCCTAATGTTCATCTTTCTAGTGCAATGCCCATTCATCAGGACAAAGAGAGAAGGAGCCCTTTACTGCCTCTCCCTCCTGAGGGCCGCGGGCTGTTAGGGCTGGCCTCCGTCCTCGATGCAGTGTGCAGGTTATTGTGGATGATCATCTTGGTACTGGGCCTCTCCTGCCTGCTGGGTCAGGCTTGGTGGATAAAGAGACTGGCTCACCACTGCAAGAGTCTTCTGGGCTGACATATGGTGAGTGAGGCATTTGATGGGTGTAATTCTGGTCTGCGGGATTTATTGCCGTAAGTTGGTCAGTGCTGCCTGGTGGTGAAGTGAAGCCATCCTTTGATGGCTTCATCTATTGCGGATATGATATTCTATATCTTCTCTGGTGCTGACCCTCTTCATACCCTGCAACAAGTTCCAGAAGTGGAAACAGTAAAACATCTGCCTCTCTGTCACCACGTTTTTCTCTGTGATCATCTGAAGAGACTGTATGACATGAGCCTCTTCATCAGAGCTGAGCTGAGGCCTGGAGACCTGTGAGGTCACCGCATTGTGCCCATCTTCCTCTCATTAATGGGCAGGACTTTCTCATCTCCCTTTTCATCTTCCATGTCATCTTCAGTTTTCAGTGAGCCATCATTCCAACCTGCTGGCAAACACCCAGGAATGGAGGACATGGAGTTAGAAGAGTCAGTGCATGAACAGCAAGACCTTCTAGATGCATGAGCACAACGCAGCTCTCTGAACGGCACGATTTCCCAAAGGCGCTTTGGGAAAACTTACCTGATTGTCCTCTTAGAAGAAACAGGTATCGGCCCACTGGGATAGTGGTGGTGCTCCACGATGAGACTATCCCAAATGCTACATCAAGTTACACTGGAAACAGCTCCAGTGAAAGACTTTAGCTCCATAAGGAGAACTTATTAGTGGGATACATAGCATGGTTCTTCCCTGGGAGTCTCTAACCTGGTCACCCCATTCGCACATTTAAAATTATTTTACTAAAGACTGCGGGAATAAACCTCAGAAAACCAGTAGGTGCAGGAGAGGGGCTAAGGAAAGGGAGTTAGTTAAGGGTAAAAGAAACAATCATTTGGACTCTCTCACACACATTCTATTTCCTGGTTTTATCTTTTTTGGAGATGAAATCAATGATAGCTGAATAAGGCTCACAGCTGGAGGCTTGAAATTCTAGATAAGAAATTTCATGCCAATTTTAATACAACTGGATAGAAAAACTAACACCAGGTGCCTCAAGCTTCACACACACACACACACACACACACACACACACACACACACACACACACATCAACTGGCTTACAATCCCTGCAACTAAAGCAAATCCAATTGCAGACAGTGCTGGACTCACTGGAAAAGAGCTGGTGATTGTTTCTCCACTGGGTGTCAGAAAGAAGCAAATTTGCAGCCTTTGGGCTGGGCTGCTATTGGTTGATGGGTGTGGAGTCCCCTCCCAGGTCTCCTTTAGAAAAGCTTTGGATTCCAGATATCACCTCGGACAGCATTTCTTCATAGAGGATGCTGTGGTTCCTTCTTACCTGATCACCTGTGGTAAGAAAGCCAAAGACTCCACCCTCTTCACCCCAGAACAGCCATAGAAATTCTCTGAGGCAGCAGGCTGACATTTCTAGTTAGCAGTTGCTTCTGCTTTGACTCAAGAAAGGTAAGTATTTCACTAGAGCTTATATTAGAAAATCTGGAGTTTGGGATTTTCTTGCTTTTCTTTCAGGGATGTGAGCACATACTACAGGAGAGCTGGCTTTGAAGCCTCTTAGGTTTGTTTTTGTACTCAGACCAAGCTGGGTCCCCTGAGCACTTTTGCATTGCTGGTAAGGAAGGTGAGCGCAAGCCTCTCTCTCACACACAGGTGGACTTCATTGTGATGCTATAGAAATCTCCTAAAGGACGCAGTGGCAGGACATACCCAGCATAGTAACACTACCCTTCACATTGGTCATTTTGGTATAATTTTAAAACTCATACTAGTGTATTTAAGGCATTTTATAGTTATCAAGCAAATTTTACACTTTAATGCTAATAAATAATTTATCCTACAAAATCTTATGTATACATGGGATAGATTAAATATGTAAGAAAGCATGATATATGTATGCTGATCAACTATAATTAATCAGCACGTCTGACTAGACCTGAATATAGATAACCACTCATTTCAGTCATGAAGCTCCAGGTGGAGTAGAATTATGTGAAGAGCTTGCAGAAAAATGATTTTGTTTGTTCAAATTCCTCTATTCAGCCAGATGCCAGCATTCATCTTGCATGCACGGTCTGGTCTTACTTTCATGGTTTTTGTCATGCCCTCCAGCCATCTTATCTGAGGGCGCTCTGGTGTTTCTTCCACCCTCAAGGCACGGTCACGGACCCAGGTCAGGGAAAACTATAGCCTGCACATTCATAGCCATGTCCTTATCTGCATCATGGCCACCTTCACATGACACGAGTTAGGACACCTCTGCATTTCTGTAATAACAGATCTCCCAGAACCCTCATTTTCTGGGCTTATACAGGTTGTTTAATGTCCATCAAGTTAATTGAGTGAAATCGACTTTGACAACAGCCTTTGTCATCCATAGTGAGAGATAACTCAAGAGATACCATGTTTGATTTGGGTCCTTCCAGTTAAATTTCATTTTTACTTAAAAGCATGTGAAAGTACTGGTTCATTTAACAAAAGTATCATCAACTAGTTTCCCCCGATCTCTCCAGGGCACCCAGATCCCAGGGCAGGGTCCTGCTCCCTTCCTTCTCTCCCCACCTACGGAGGCGCTCTCCTTTCCTTCTCCCTCTGCCTGGGGAGCTAGCCTGAGCACCACACTGAACTCCATCAGACCCCAAGAAAGAAATCAAGAATGGCAACTGAAATTTGTCATGCTTGAAGCAGCACCTCCTGGAAGACCTATGAGTTTTGCTCAAGAAACTTTTGGGAACCAATAAAACTAAACTATAGTGATGAATATATATACATATTTTTTGAGCGGGATAACATTGCCAGGAAACTTGAATGTTACTCTTCAAGTATGGGATGTAGGGGGTGCGTACAATACGCGGCAAGAAGGTGGATGCATTTATCTATGGACCACAGAGAATCCTCTTGTTACAAATTAGCAAAGCTTGGAGAATTTAAAAGATTGGTACAGCCAGGCGCGGTGGCTCATGTCTGTCATCCCAGCACTTTGGTAGGCCGAGGCGGGCGGATCACGAGATCAGGAGATCGAGACCATTCTGGCGAACACGGTGAAACCCTGTCTCTACTAAAAATACAAAAAAAAATTAGCCGGGCGTGGTGGCGGGGGCCTGTAGTCCCAGCTACTCGGGAGGCTGAGGCAGGAGAATGGTGTGAACCCCGGGAGGCGGAGCTTGCAGTGGGCCGAGATCGCGCCACTGCACTCCAGCCTGGGCGACAGCGAGACTCCATCTCAAAAAAAAAAAAAAAAAGATGGGTACATTGTACTGAAGAAAGTGAGCGAAGAGTCAGAAGCTTTGCTACTGGTTGCCTTGGTGAGCAATAAAATTTATTTGGAGCACATGGAAACAGTAAAACCTGAAAAACACTTATGGTTTTGCCAGGAAAATGGTTTTAGTAGCCACTTTATCTCAGCCAAGACAGGAGACTGTCTTCCTGTATTTTCAGAAAGTTGCTAATGAAATCCTTGGACTCAAATTAAACAAATCAGAAAAATAGAAGAGTCAGAGAGTGGTGAAGGCAGGTATTGGAAACTACAACCAGGCCCCCAGAACGGTGACTTCCTACAAGCTCTATGTCTGCATCCGTGAGGGCATTTGTTTTTAACTAATAGTTCTGGCTGCACCTCACCTCTGCGTGGGCCTGAGCATGTTTGGAAACTTGTTTTGCACGCAGCCATCTCTGTAGTTCAGTTAACACTTTCCTAGCTCACTTCATCATCAAGTGTTGCCTCACAGGCCAAAGGCAGCTCCTTGGACTGGTAAGAATTCAATTTGGGGACCACAGTCTTTGAGTTCAAAATGGAAAGCTCATTCTCTGGAATTAGGCTGTTTCATCCAAAAAGAATACTGGCTCTCTTTGTATCCTCCCCTTTTTTCTCCTTCATGTAAATACACAAAATATTGAATGGCTGCATGAAAGATGAAAAGTGTCCAAGTCTTCATCATCAGCCAGGATTTTGCTACAGCAGCTTCATTGTCCTACCTGAAGTCGTACATGGCAAATCATACTTCAGAATGCAAGCATTTAAACACAGAATATATTTTACCTACAGAAGGTCCTTTGCCATTTTGAGTGAAAATATATAAACCTATGTCTAACTGAAAATGCTTGAAATAAAGTTGTAATCAAATTTCTTTTATTTTTTTAAAAAGAGCCTAAATTGTTTACGTCATAGCTTGTAAAAATAGTATCAGATATTGTATTTTTACTATTGTATGATGGTCACTATGTACTACGTAACATTCAGGTTAAATAGCTTTATGAATTTTGATAAATGTTCCTCTGTAGCTCCACATGTAATTTCTCTTGCAAACTGTATAAGAATACTCCTAGAATGAGTTATGACAGATCGTTGGATCATTGTGGATCAGACCATACCTGATGTTCAGATATTTTTTCTTCCACAAATACATTTATTTAAATGACTTTTTAAAAGTGACATAAACTAATTGGGCACACTGTAATAATCTCAGGCACCACTGCCTGAGAACTGATGTTTCTGCTGCTTTTCCCTTATCTTGACCTATTCTTCATGGTTACATGATAGTCATATACAGTATATGCCCTTGTTCATCTATAATTCAAGTGTATTCCTTTCTCTGGGCTAACATGGTTATTATTTTCTTTCCATTTGTTTTCAGAAAACAAATTTTATTTCATTACAATGAACTGAGCATGTTTATTTATTTTAATAAGTTGTCCCTGTATAATTTTATTGTGCTACCTTTTTTATTATCCATGTCTTCAGAAAATATTTATGTAAGAAAGATATTCATAATACTGATGTATCATTATATTAATCTTATTTGTAATCCAATCATTTTCTTTTATATTTCTTAAATAAACTACACTAGAATTATGTCACAAGTAAAGTTTTGTAGATCACCATCTTCTTACTGTTACTTTGTAACTGGGGAATTCTGAAATAACAATATTATTGTAGCTTATATTATTTTTCTGTTAATCAAAGATACATTTAATTAATTAGATTTTTTTCCTTTTTGTACTCAGGTTCTACCACTCTTCTATTTTGCATTAGAGAGTTCTTAAAGAAAGCTGTTGATTGGATATAGTAAATAATTTAAAAATCAATGTTTAATATATAAAGTTTTTCTTACTAAAAAAAATCACCCAATTAAAAGTGGGCTAAAGATGGGAATGGACATTTTGCAGAAATAAATAAACCACAAATGACCCATAAAAATTTTTTTTTTTTTGAGACCGAGTGTCACTCTGTCACCCAGGCTGGAGTGCAGTGGCACAAGTTCGGCTTACTGCAACCTCCACCTCCCAGGTTCAAGCAATTCTCATGCCTCAGGCTCTCGAGTAGCTAGGACTACAGGCACACACCACCACACCTGGCTAATTTTTGTTTTTGTTTTTGTTTTTAGTAGAGACAGGGGTTCCACCATGTCAGCCAGGCTGGTCTCGAACTGACCTCAAGTGATCCGCTGGCCTCGGCCTCCCAAAGTGCTGGGATTACGAGCGTGAGCCATCAGACCTGGCCGACCTATAAACTCTTTTTTTTTTCTTCTTATTCCTTGAAACTGCTCGTATTGCAAGTTTTTCATGGATGAAATATGGAATTGAGCAGATTCTTTTTTTCTACAAAATTATGGTATAAACTTGCTCAATTTTCTATCTTATTGCTAATACATCTTACAGGCACACAGTTTGTAAAGTAAACCCCTTAAGGGCTGAGTGCGTAGAGTGTGCTGCAAGGTACAAGAAATAAGCTAAAAATGAGCATATAAACCTACATCTGGACCAACACGGTACTGAATGCTGGAGTCTGAGCAAAGAATGAGTGATGAAAACAGCAAAGCTGGAAAAAAATGCTACTAATAATAATTTCTGAAAAGTCTATTAATGAAAATTTTTTCAAAATAGCCCAGGAAACCAGAAAGACAATGTTCTGTATGGAAACACTGTAGGAAGTTACAGTTTTGCATTCATAAATTACCGTGGCTCCTGTTTTATGGGACAGTAAAAGCTTACCACAATCTAGAGGTAGTTTTTACTCTAAGAAGGATGATTGTATTACTAGACTGTGCCGTATCATATTATGCACGTGGTTCTTGTACTAAATGTAGCCCAAAGAGTCTGCTGCAATTTCGAAGAATCCGAACAAAAGCTAAGCGAAGTTCAGGAATGAAAGCAAGGTACAACTGCCGAGTTTCGCATGCAAGGCCAATGTACAACCCTGAATGCAACCAAATCTCAGCTGAAAGGAAAAGAAACATTTTCTGAGTTAGGAGACATTTGTGGAGATGCTCAGTACTGGAGAAGAGAAAACAAACAAAAAAGGCAGGGAAAAGAAAAATAAAAACACAAGTTACATTTGCATTTCATAATCTTACAACTATCTGTTTCTAAAGTACTGTCTTCCAGCTATTTTAGTTGATCATCTAATAAAAGCATCTTATGTTTTAAGATTACAATGATGTTCTGGCCTAGGCTACCCCCTCCAACACCCCCAAAAAGTAAAGTTAATAAAACATGCTTTTGCTGAGATCTTCCTCATTCTACCATAAGGGCACCATCTCCCAACTGGTAGCAGATGCTTCTCATGATATTTTTTGTCACTTGCCAACAAGGCAGAAAATACTCTGCTGGATGAAATCACTGGGAACATTCCAAGTTCAAAATGAAATGTTTAACTTACACGTAATACAAGTTATGTACAAGATCAGGAGCGGGGAAAAACCTGAACAAATCCTGGAACACACATAATGTATTTACGTTATGGGAAAAGGAGAGAGAACACTTCAAATATCAACATGTTCTGCGCTATTAACTCATTTATGGCAAAATGGCCACACCAAATTGCATGTGAATGTTAGAACCTCTTGGATAACCACTAGAAATACTTTTTTTAAAAAAAAGGAAAATGCAGAAATAACTACCAACAGTGTCTGCGAAGAGAGACTAAGTTAACATACATTGCATGTGTTGCAGGCAAGGCAGAGGCAGCTTTTTAAAGCTTTTGCACAGACTTCACATAATCTTAAAAAAAAATGTAGGCCTTCACAAGATTTGACTTGCTGAAATCCAAACAATTTTGACTCACGAAAAGTCGTAAGACTTCAGCTGGAAAAAAAAAAAAAGCTCTAGCCTCGGACCAAAAAAAAACTTGGAAGAACATGATAATTAGATTAAGCAAGCATGGCCAGGCTTGGAACCTGAATGTATTTTAAAGCAAAAGCTCAAAGGTGAGTGGGGAAGAGAACAACCTCTTTGGTGACAAGATGTACTATAATACCATGATATAAAAAAGGGTATGGTGAATATGTGAAAATGTACCTTTTACTAAAGCTTATACAATATACAAGTTACTTGGTCCATAAAAACTATGTTAGATTTATGTCTTCTAGTTTGTTCAACTTGTATTCCAGCCACATTATTTACTTCTTGCCCACTTAAACAAAACCAAACAAAAACCAACCAACCAACCAACCAACCAACCAACCAACCAACAAAACAGCTGAAAAAATTAATTTCCAAGTTTTTACATTTTGATGTTTTTTTGTTTTACTGTGGCTTCTGCATTTCAAATCAGCACTTGCAGATAGATAGTGGGGTTTTAGAATAGTATCACCTGGTGTGAAAAGTTTTCCCAATAAACCACAAAAGACTGTTCATTTTTTTCTCCTTTTTTGTCAACTTTTTGCTGCACTCAAGTCCGTTTAAGTCTTAGCAAAAAGACGGTAGTTAGGATACCACTGTTGGTGTAGATGATGTGACACTGGTTGAATTTGTGCTGGCGTTTGTGTAACTTCCGTCGCTGTTTGTGTTTAATTCATTAGGGGGCACGTGGCTTGAACTGGCTTGAAGGATGGCACCTGCTACACTGCAATGTGGCCGCGGCCCTGCTTCTGGTGTGTAGGTAAAGGTAAGGCTGGTGGAATATATGATTCCATCATTTCGGACCAAAGTTACTGAAACCTGTATTGGTTGCTGGACCTATCTCCAACCTTCTCAGAATGCAGAAACGTCTGGGACAACACGAGCATACTCTCTCCACACCTGTACATAGCTTCAGCTTCTACATCCCCAAACCACACTTGTAAATTTGGAGTGAAATTCTGTCCTGTAAGTTCAAGCATTGGTTCGTCCCCACCGCCATTCAACTTAAGGCTCTCTACGACAGGCGGAGGCATGACCAGGGCAAGGACAGGGCCCACTCTCTCGTAAAATGTATGCTTCGCCTTATGTGTGCTAATGATTGCCCAGGAAGCACCATCATTTATCTTCTCTTTATTTGGTTCTTTTGGGCATGGAGTGGCCTGAAATTGAATTATTCTTTCTTGAGAAAGGCATAAGTACTTTCTTTCTGTATCCTCAAGGTCAAATGCACATTTATGGAGTTGTGACACAGGATCATCTGCATCCAATAATGTGGTCTGCTTATCAACTTTCCTAATTATCAATCTTGGGAGTGCCATGCCAGTAACTGAGCACACAAGTTTGACTGTTTGTCCATAATGAATGTAGCCATCTCAGACTGTGAATTCTTCTCCTTCTGATCCATCATCATCCAAGAATAATGTAAAATGCTCCCCATTGCTGTGAACTAGCATGAAAATTACCTCTTTCTACGTGCAAGTATCTGGTACTAACTGTCTGGGATAGTAGTCGATTAAACAGAGCCACCTTTCTTCCTGAGGCAATGCATAAGTCAGCATTTTTCAATGACTGCTTCTTTTTGGAAGGTTTGGACGACTTGCTGAGGAACACACCAATGTCATCACTGTTGCCATAGAACACCTTTACAGACAACATGAAGTGCTTTTGCTTGTCTAAATCAGATATGTACAATGTTTTGGCTGTGCAATAGTTCTTTCCTTCCAAGTTTAGCTGCTGCATTTCTTGGTCACTATTTCCTATGCCAATAAATGCACATGGTTGAGACCCTTGTTCAGAACAACCATCGCATTTCATTTGTTATTTTATTTTCTTCCATCCACTGCCCATAAGATATACACAAGGGGGAGGGCAAAAAAACCTTTTTTCATTTCCATATGACTTCTGTACAACTTTTGCATGAAGGCTAAGTACTATTTGATCCCCTTACCCTTTTAAATAATTTCACATAGCTTCCCTAGTAAGTCGTTTAAATGGAGGCCACTTACCAAATTTCCTTTTAATCCATGCCATGGTACCGCAAGAACATGTTAAGGTAAGTAACAGCTTGGAACATTTCAATGCACCTCAAAACACCTCAGCCAGTGTATCTGTATCATTCTCCTTCATTTTGAAATAATAATGTTTCCAAAGAACTGTAATGCTTCCATTTGAATGATAGTCTTATAATTTCAATGACGTTCCACAGGCTGTACAGGAAGCATGGCAGCATCTGCTTCTGGGGAGTCTTCAGGGGGCTTTTACTCGTGGCAGACAGCAAAGCAGGAGCAAGTAACTTACATCCCCATAAACTCTTAAATGATTAGTAATCACAGACCATGATAACATACTAATTTTTATGTACTGGAACAACTAAAATTAAGAAGTCTGATAAGAGAAAGAAAATCCAACATTACATGCCTCTGAATATGATTCAATAGGAAGCACACTGCACCACCTTTGAAGTATTCTTGCCAAAAGAATATAAAACTAAAATAACTTAAATCAACCTCTTGTTCTAACTATCAGTTTATATGTGTTAAATTATACCATAAGGCTGCACTAAGCCAAACACAAAATGTGGGAAATTCTACAGGCGAATGACCTAGTTTTTTCTGCAAATACATGGAGTCAGGTGGGAAGAAGATATTGTGATCAATTAAAACTGTTAAAGTTAAAGAAAGAGGAAAGAAACATGAAAAGTGGCTTAAGAGTCAAAGATAGGTTTATTTTGGAGAATAAACCTGAGAGGGGCTTCTGGCCGATTTCGGTTAGGAACACTCTCTCTTCCAGAGTAAGAGTATTTATTGGTGAGAGAGCTTATCACAGGCTTGGAATGTTTCTGTATGGGGGAGAAGCTCATGGCGGGGTTGGAATGTCTATGGTCAGAGGGGAGGTTTTCTTGGGGCTGACATCTCTCCAGCTGGAGGGGAGGTTATCTGGGGGCTGGCATGTCTCTGGTCAGGGAGGGGTTTATCCTATGGTTGGAATGTTTCTGGTTGGACATGTCATTTGTGGTTTATGGTCATGCTGACCTTAGCCATTAGGCTGATGCCCTTTGGATTTAGGTGGTTTTTAGGTGGATCAAGGGGAACTTTAGAATGGTGGTACTTGTCCATGATGGCGATGCTCCTGCTCTGTCAAAAACCTCTGTCAACCAAATGCAGTGTGCGTGGACTTGTTTGGATTCTCACTGAAAAAGAGATCTGTGAGACAATCATGAAAACCTGAACACCAAACATTAGATGATATTAAGGAATTACTGTTAATTTATTTAGTTGTGTTAATGGTACTACTATCATGTATTTTAAAAGTCCTTTCCCTTAAAGATACATAGCTATATATTTTAAAATGATATAATATGATGTCTGGGGTTTGTGCTAAAATTATGCTTGAGTGTGTGTTTGTGGGAGGGATATATATGAAATTTTAAGACTACTCCATATATTTATAATTATTGAAGTAGAGTGTAAGGAATACATTGGGTTTTATTACTTTTGTCTCTACTTCCATGTATGTTTGAAAATTTTCATAATAAAAATTGTAAATAAAAGTCTAATAAAAATCATAGTTTTAAAAATTAGGATGAAAAATCATGAATAACAAATAAGATCTAATAAAAATATTGTATAGTGTCATAGTGTAAAAGTATTTTATGAAGACACATATTGGTAATTATATTTTAAAACTCCATAAATCGAAAAGTTCAACAACCATACTGTAACCTCCTGATGGGTTCTTCCCGCCTGCTGCACAAAAAAAATCAATTCACAGAGACCAGGGCATTGCAGTAAAGGAAGAATTTAATTGATGTGAAGCCAGCCACACCACACAGGAGGTGGAGTTATTAAATCAAACTCATCAAAAGCTTGTAGGTTAGGGTTCTTTCAAAGGTAATTTGAGGGAAGTGATGAGGGTGGCTAGGCAATGGCTGCTTTCTGCTGATTGTTTTGGGGGTGCAATCTTAACATGGGAAAAGATCCTGCTCTGTGCTGAATGGCTTCTGCTTCTGCATGGGGCCACATGAGCAGTTGGTGGGTTCAGAAGGCACCATAATTGGTGCCAAACACGCAAAATATCTGAAAGGCTATCTCAAAAGGCCAATCTTGGGTTCTACAGTAGTGATGTTATCTGCAGGAGTAATTGGAAAAGTTGCATATCTCGTGACCTCTGGAATAATGGCTGGCAGTCTTTTATGTCTACCCCTTTGCCGAATTCAGGCTCTTCTCCTCCTAGCCTGGTGGTCTCTCATTAGCTTTATAAAGGTGATTGAGTTTTGGAGAAGGACTATTATCATTTAAACTGTAAACTACATGTCTCCCAAAGCTAGCCCATCCTAAGCCTGGTAATAATTAAGGCAACATGAAGGTAAAATATAAGAGGGAAGTTGGCTATATTAGATCTTCCCCACTGCCATAATTTTCTCACTGTTATAATTATTTCAAATGCAGTTTCAATATGAGTTGTTTTTTAATTCAACCTCTGGCTTTCTAATTAAAAATGATTAGTTAAACACATGTGCATCTTCTTCCTATTCTACCAACATCCTATTGAAATGACCATGTGATGGACAAAAGAGAAGATACGTGTCCATGCTGAGAACAGGATGCAAAACCTTCAGCAGACTAGAGGGCAGGAGATGGGAACACACTGGGATGTGTAGCCCAAACGATGCAAAGAACAGAGTTGAGGGTGAGATAGAAACCCCTCACAAAAGAAAGACACAAACCTAGAATCCCAGGCATGCATCACAAGCAACTGCAGTGCTATTAAAGGGCTGTTTATGGATCAGCTGGGCCAGTCAGCTTCCCTTCCTCCCATCCTGCAACTTCTGGCAGTAGCTGGCAGCAGTTATTTAAAAGACACCAGCCAAGCCGGTTCCTGAGTGAGTCCAACCACAGTCAGCCCAGGGCCAGCCTCGTGGCTCCCAATCTGTGGTACTGAGGGTCATGATCATTAATTACATTTCCAATGAAACAATAATTGCCTTTAGTAAACTACAGGAGCATAAGTAGAAGTGATATTGTAGTAAATGTCTCATATCATTACTTCTGCCAGAAATACCTCTGCCCTTGCATTTTCAAAAGATATTTGCTGCATCCTTTTCTGAAATACATTTTTATGATCTCAATTCCTTCAAAACCTAACTTTATTTTATTTATTTATTTATTTATTTATTTATTTATTTATTTATTTATTGGAGACAGAGTCTCGTTCTGTCACCCAGGCTGGAGTGCAATGGTGCAATCTCTGCTCACTGCAACCTCTGCCTCCCAGGTTCAAGCGATTCTCCTGCCTCAGCCTCCTGAGTAGCTGGGATTACAGGCACCTGCCACCACACCCAGCTAATTTTGGTATTTTTAGTAGAGACGGGGTTTCACTATGTTGGCCAGGCTGGTCTTGAACTCCTGACCTCAGGTGATCCACCAGCCTCGGCCTCCCACAGTGCTGGGATTACAGGCGTGAGCCACCTCGCCTGGCCCAAAAACCTAACTTTAATTATTTCCCTAGCCACTATACTGATCATTTTATTTAGTGCTTTTTTTACACCATTACATATACATATAAGGAAAACTGGCATCTTTTACATATTTATTTATTTTTAACCTGTTTTCCTCTAAAAACTATTAAGGCAACTTCCAAAATATATTCTACATAATGAGATTAATAAACAAGCAAAGTAACTAAATCAGTAAGAAAATCTAGCTTGGATTGGTATGGGTTAAAAAATAAATACACAAAATATATCATGATATTTATTCGGTCTAATATAGGCTTCCCATGCACCCCCCTCTCCCCACCGCCCCCAACCCCCTCCCCACCGCCCCCAACCCCCTCCCGAGAGGACAGGGATGCCCGGGTCCGAAGCCATGGCTGGGCAGCTGCCCTTGCGCCTGGGACTGCAGGGCTCCCTCCCCAGCAGCTCAGAAGCGGCCAGGGCTCCCGCCGGCTCCACAAAGTGCGCCGCCCTGCGGCGCCTCCCCTGCTGCAGCCGGCATCTTGGCAGCAGCCTCTCCAGATGGGCCGCTGCCATCAACACCACCCAAACCGGTAATGTGGCTCAACCAGTTCTGCGATCCCACCCAGGAACAGAAGGCAGCAAGAAAACCTCACTTTGATCCCCCTGTGATTCTATCTCCAACCTGACCAATCAGCACTCCCCGCTTCCTGAGCCTCTGCCATATTACCCTTAAAAACTCTGATCCCAAACGCTCGGGGAGACTGATTTGAGCAATAATAAAACTCCAGTCTCCCGCCCAGCTGGCTGTGCAAGAATGACTCTTTCTCTATTGCAATTCCCCTGTCTTGATAAATCAGCTCTGTCTAGGCAGGGGGCAAGGGGAACTTGTTGGGCGGTGGTGTATATATATTAATATATATGCACTCACACACACAAATATATGTAATATTTGCAACTGGAAGTAGAACAGGACCTCCTAATACAAAGACGAGCTCCTGTAGCATCAGGAGTCAGCAGCTCCCTGCCAGGTGGAGCCTCCGTTGTGGTCATACTATTGAGGGGGCCCCCACCTGAACGCCAGTCCCCGCCCCTGATTCAGCCATTTCGCAGATATTTATTCAGATGTTCCAGGAACTATTCTAAGGGCATCAGGTGCTGTTCTTGTCACAGGCAAAGAAAGCCCCAAAGGGAAGGTGTCTCTTCCGGCGGTGCCTGCCCCACCTCCAAGCCTGGCAGCTTTCGAAATTTATCTTAGGACATTTCCGACAGGTGTTGCTCTTCTTCAGCTTTGTCCTGGCATAATTTTGTCTCCCAGGAGCCTTCATTTTCTTCCTTCATTGATCCTACATGTGCTGTAGCTAACAGGAATTCCTCAGAGCTCGTAGCCTTTGGATAGCGTGGTTTCACGGTTGTCAACACTGATATGTTTATCTATACTTTGAGCTTCATGTAGTTTTTCATTAGGATTTTGTGAAATGCACAGGATGATGTAGGCTACAATGGTAGGTTCGATTAGCTATGTTCCTTGATGATTTCACAGTAACTTATATTTAAATAACCAAACTATTCAGATTTATGCTTCTATGATAAGAGATTTCAGTATTTTTGAATCAAACCATTTTAAGGGTTTTTTTTTTTTTAATGTAACACTTACTTACTTAAAATGATTACATAACTCTCCCCTTGCATGCCACATTTTAGGCAAAATTAACAGCATATTCCTAAAACCCAGCTTACTAAATTGCTTCTCTTGATAGTTTTTTTTGTTTTTAACCGAGGAAGAATTTCTGATGGGAAGCTTTAATTATAGTGAGCTATGTACTAGCCAAGGAAGGCAATAAATTGAAAATATGCTGTTTAATTTTGTTGTTGTTTGTTTGGCTGGAGAACACTACAGTTTTATTTCTATTCATAAACCAGTGCTTCCCAACCAGGGCTGTTTTTGCCTCCAGGGAAGAAAATGTCTGGAGACATCTTGGGTTGTCAAAACTGGGGGTTGCTACTGGCACTTAGAGAGTACAGGCTATGGATGCTGCTAAGCATGCCATCTTGCACAGAACAGCCTGTACCCTCCCTTCTCCTCTGCAAGAAGAATTAAAAATTATCTGACTCAAAAGGTTAACACTGCTAAGATTAAGAAACTCTGCCATCGACCAGTGGAAGTAAAAATTGTAAGGATTTATTATTTCAAATCTATACAGCTTTACCTCACGAGTTTTACTTTTTCTAATTCTCTTTAGGGAAGTTTCTCTTCCCTCTCATTTTCCAAACGAAGTTGTGATTTTTGGCGTGAACTACTCCACCCCACAGCCCAGCTTCTGCGCTTGAAGATGTTGTGGATATGGGCTCCATGCTTGTAGTGGCGAACTTCGAGGCCTGTCACATGTCCTGCTACCCCAGACCACTCCATCACATGACCTGTGCATACACCTTACATCATTCTGAAATGCCCTTCACATATGCCCTCTTCCAGAATATAAAACATCTTCCTTGCATAAATACTTCCAAGGAAAGGCTGGCCACACTCTGACTACTTAAACTCCTTGAAGTTTTGTTCTATGAAAAACATAAATGGTGGTTCAGCTGGCAGCATCCTCAGTAACACTCTTGATATTTTCTATCCTCTAGTTTTCTCCATCTGTTTGAGAGAACACACTTTGGGTTATCTGGGGTCTATGCCAAAGGAGGCATTGTGGATAAGTGTGGCTCAGCCTTCCTTAACAAAAAATTACCTTTCAATTCAGGGCAGAAGCTTATGATATTAAAACTCATGTGGTTCCTCGAGAATCTCCTTAATACACTTTCCTCGTGAGCCAGGGGTGAGGGTAACTGGCAAAGCAATCAGGTCTTGGCGCCAACAAAATCCCATTTCTTCCCTGAAATACAAGCCCCATCAGGACGTGACATCTGTCTGTATTACTTCCTACTATATAATCCCCAGTAACTAGAACAAAGCAGTTAAACAATATTCAACAGTCAGAAATATATTTATCATATGCTGCTAAAAATACCCTCCATTTTCTAGCTCTCTAATCAGTTAACATGTGCACATTTAAACTACATCACAGCATTGGATTTGTTCTATCTGTCTGTATGGATACAATTGTGCTGCTGACAATTTAGTCAAGTGTTTCATCTCTATGTAGACAACCGTCATGTAAGAATTAATGAGAATTTCCTAACATCATGGTGGCAACTGGCAGCTATTGCTCTGAAAATTTCTAGCTCTGAAAAATTTTAGGCCAACATGTTCACAGTAATGTTTTAGTTTAAAGAGCTTGGAAATGGGGTTTCCTGGAATGTATTGGAATAAACCATGTATTTTATTCCCAGTTTTGGGAGATATCTGCTTTCCTTACGTTCCCCAGGCTACCACCATCCAAAAGCAGAAAAGCCATTTAGGGAACCAAGAGTTTTAGTCAAGCTATTTAACTGTCATCAGAAATAAAGAAAACAAATCACCTCTACAGCCTTCTGGGTTAATTTTTATAAGGTGGTTTGTCTTCATTCAGTGGAAAAGAATAATCTTAACTTCAGGTCATTGGCAGGTCAATAAAAGCTCTAAAGCTAAATTTTCACCAAAATCTCAGTTGAGATAAGTAATATTTAAGGATTATTTGGAAGAATAGGCTCCACTGATTTCTGTAATAACCCGAGATTTAATACTGGATTAATCCAGACCATCATATAACTCCATACTCAAGCCATATTGTCTTGATTGCCCAAGAAATTGCTTTTAAGAAATTGTCATATATTTATTGTCCAAAACGTGTTTATTATAGGGTTATTGTTGAAGACAATGTCCCCTTTATCGCTTGGTGACTCCAATGAAAGGCCCCAATAAACATTGCTCTCAGACTTGATTTTGACAACAAAACCTCTCACATAAAATACTGAAAGTATGAATGTTAGAATTCTTTTTTATTTCTGGGAAGCTGAGATACAAATACAGAAACAAAATTCAGTGACATAGATCTTTATCATATCTTGCATGGTCCTCTGAAATAGGAAGAAAACATTAAATTTTAACTTTTGACTTTAGGGTAAAAACATCACTTTTATACAAATCAAAAACAAACAAGAAAAGAACCCCATACAAATTATAAAGACAAAGGCTGACAAAATTGACCATAATAAAATAAAATTTCTGTGCAACAAGACACTAGGAATAAAAGTTTGTAAGAAAAGCTAGTGGGAACAAAAAGATATTCACAACATCATTGAAGATATAAAGATTGATATCCAAAATAAAAACCTCTTATTAAAAAAGAAAGAAAAAGTAAATGAAAGTACAAACAGATTAAGAAGAGAAAACATGGCCGGGCGCGGTGGCTCACGCCTGTAATCCCAGCACTCTGGGAGGCCGAGGCAGACGGATCACGAGGTCAGGAGTTTGAGACCAGCCTGGCCAACATGGTGAAACCCCGTCTCTACTAAACATACAAAAATTAGCTGGGTGTGGTGGGGGGCACCTGTAGCCCCAGCTACTCGGGAGGCTGAGGCAGGAGAATCACTTAAACCCAGGAGGCAGAGGTTGCAGTGAGCCGAGATCATGCCACTGCACTCCAGCCTGGCGACAGAGTAAGACTCCATCTCAAAAAACAGAAAAAAAGAGAGAGAAAAAACATTAATGACTAACAAATGTATCTAAAGATTCTCAGACTCATTAGTAGTCAAAAAAGTGTACATTATAGCAATGATGAGAGTGCAATTCTCTTTATCTGAACTGGTAAACATAAAAAAGTCAGACAAAATCAAGCATTACTGAAGTGACGATAAAGGAGTTATCTGGTGATGCTGGTGGGAAGATACAGCGGCTGTGAGAGGTGATTCTACAACATGACTTACAGGCGAGTACTCATGCGCACCCTCTGCCCCAGCAACCTGACAGCTCTTCCCCTGCCATCTTCCATGGTCCACACAAACATGCATGAGTGTGTCCTGGGCAGCTGCACCCTCACCTTTGTGCATCACAGCAGGGTCCACCTGCTCTGAGTCCTTATGACATGACGCTATTCTTAGTGTCCTGGTATGTTCCTGTCACTGTACAATGGCTCCCATAAGCCCTACTGCTGCCTGGAACAAAGAGAAACTTTGGTTATATAGTGTGTATTTGCATAAAGACCGTTTTCAAAGAGC
This sequence comes from Homo sapiens, assembly GCF_000001405.40. NCBI lineage: Eukaryota > Metazoa > Chordata > Mammalia > Primates > Hominidae > Homo > Homo sapiens. The sequence continues at coordinate 66,627,186 of NC_000009.12, read as the reverse complement.
AAGAAGAATATAAAAGAAATAAATCTGTGCCTGTATATAGACTCCCTAAAGCTGTCTCTGGCCTCCAGTTTAAAAACATCTAGAATCTAGCCAGGCCCTTGCCTTTCCTTGAAGCACACTTATCTGCCTAGAATTAGGTGTAAATAATTTTGTTCTATTACCCACCCCACGATTCTGAAGAACTGGCTCAAATGTACCCAAACTCTGGTACACATTTGTCAATGCTGCCTCTTACAGGACAAAAAAAAACTGAGTATTTTCTTTCAGACCCTCATACACTTTCCACATTGAAAATGTGGGATATTCTGTATTTCCACAAGCAGTTCTTTCTCTCTCCTTTGTCTCTCTCCTATTTTTCTTGAAACCCCTACTCTCTCACTCTGTGATTTGTCTAAATATAATAAAGATATAGGTACAAAAAATATTTTACTTTCCTCTTAATTCTACTATGAGAAGAAAGCATTAAGTTCAATGATAAAGGGCAGCTGGTAATTGAACTTAGGTGTAGGCAGAAAGACACTGGTAGGGATGAGGCAAACAAGAAAGTCTGTTTTCCATGTAAAGGGTGAAACAGTTTCTCAGCAATTGCTGAGATCAAGGATAAGCCCTACAAGTTTGGGCAGGAAAGAGGACTCTTATTACTCTGAGGGAATGCAGAAATCCCTCCGTTTTGTTGTTGTTTGTTTTCTCTGAGCCCTTGTGATCTGGCCCCCAAGAATTCCTGTGGTGGCAGCAGCAGGTGGTGCCTAGGAGAAACAAAACCCTGAGGCCAGGGCATCTTCCTCTCCAGTTGGTGCAGTTATGATCCCAAGAGGGTGATGCAAACTTTTTGAAGTCTTTTCTCATTTTGCCACCTGTCACCTGGCTCCAAACATGGGTGCAGCCATGAAACACTGTAGCAGAGTACCGTAATCAAAGACCCAGCATTCTGGCCAGAAAACAGAAAAGAGGAGCTCCAGGGAACCAGAAAATATTGGAGACACTGTGGAGAGGAAGGAGTATGAGAAAGTGACACCATAAAGTTTTTAATGGACTGAGCGCATCCCCAAGCTGCATGTGTGTGGATCTGCTCCTAATTAGTTAACCAAAGATTTTGAGAACGAAGCTAGCAGATTATCATCCGAGTTCCACACTGACCACCAGGACATATCTGAAGCAAACTGGAAAGGCTTTGAAAACTCAACTGATTGTTGGAACCACAGCTCACAAAACAGAGATTGGAACTTGCAGCTTGAATATGACAAGGTCAATTGCTTCTAAAACAAAAATAGTATCAATCCGCCTAATATTTTATGAAGACCCAGAGCCTCAAAACCTAATGTCCATGACACAATCCAAAATTACAAAAAAAAACAGATAAACTGCACCCCACATGAGAAAAGACAGTCAGTACTAAGTAGCTACCAATACTGAGAAGAAAAATAAATTTGAATTACATCACAAGGATTTTAAAGCAGCTTTTATAAAAATGTTCCAACAAGTGGTCGCAAACACTTTTTTTTTTTCTTGAGACCGCGTCTCACTCTGTCACCCAGGCTACAGTGCAGTGGCGCAATCTAGGCTCACTGCAACCTCGGCCTCCCGGGTTCAAACGATTCTCCTGCCTCAGCCTCCCAAGTAGCTAGAACTACAGGCATGCGCCACCACGTCCAGCTAATTTCTGTATTTTTAGTAGAGAAGGGGTTTCACCATGTTGGCCAAGATGGTCTCGATCTCTTGACCCCATGATCTGCCCTCCTCGGCCTCCCAAAGTGCCGGGATTACAGACGTGAGCCACCATGCCCGGCCGCAAACACTTTTATACCAATGGAAAACTAGAAGTATCAGAAAATAAATAGAAGATGTAAAAAGGAACAAAATGAATATATTAGGACCAAAAAATCCAATAACTGACATACAAAATTCTAAGTAAGCTTTTTATTACAATAAAACTAAAGAGGTAAGGATCTGTTATCACGACTATAAATCAACAGAAATTATCTAATCTGAACAATAGAGAGAAAGAAAGATGAAAAAGTCTTGATTAGAGACTTAGAGACTTGAGGAACAATAACTAAAGTTCCAACATACATGTCATCTGAGTCTCAGAAGGAGAAAAGGAAAAGGAGTGCAGTGCTGAAAAAATTTTGAAAACCTAACAGGAAAAATTACCCAAATTTGGCAAAAGGCAAACATTAATTGAACTAAAAGAAGAAATAAACAAATGTACAATTATGATTAGATAATTCAACACTCCTCTCTCGCTAATAATTAGTGAACATTTGAAATTAATTGATGGTAAGTTTGATTAATTCTGAGATTTTTAGCAGTATTGTTTATCACATAGAATTAACAGATCATTTCTGTATAGCAGACAAAAATGCATTCTGAACCACATGTAATAGTTCATCACACAAAATGTTGAGTTAATGCCAGTCAGAATGTCTCTCTTCTTCCAGTACAGGGATTACAAAATAATGGCAAGACCTAAGGTCATGTATGCAGTGATGCACTAAGTACCTTAAATAATAGGACATGAGATTGCAAGCACAATGCAGTCACTATGAATGAGAAAATTATGTAAGAGCTCAAGTTCATGTGCTGAGGAGGCTTCTGAGAAGCCTTAAAGGATATCTGGCCAATTCAGCTGTTACTGGGTTAGACTATTAATTGTCTTATTGCCTTAACTCTCATCAAAAAAAGACTGTTCTGCAGGCTTTTTTTACTGTGGGCAAGTGATTAACAACACCCCAGCTAGAAAATTCTTCCTGATGTCTGTCCTGAGTCTCTCCTGATCTAACAAGCAACGGTATACAAGAACTTATCAACTCCATCATCAATTACAAAAAAAAATTAAGTTGTCATAATCATAGTATATGATTTAAGGATTTACTAAAATGCAATGGTAGTGAAGCTATCAGAGGATGGAGGAACCTCCATTTCACCATCTGGTTGTTCCTCTTTGTTCCCTTTAGGTTAGTCTGAGCCAAAACACCCAACACTAATCACAATGCTTTGTCCATTTCAGCAGGCATAATTCCTTACAACAACAAATAAAATAATTCCTAAGTATTTATTTCATAAAATAAATGTATTAGATATTTTGGCCTCACAAAAATAAGAGATAGAGTCTACTCAAAACAGTGTTTTGTGTATGATTTTCATAAATTTCAAATTAGAATGTAAAGTTTATCATATCTCTTCCATTTGTTAGGATAGTGTTAGTAACATTTATAAAATCATTTTCTTTCTCCTGTATTTATTTGACATAAAATGTGTCATTCTCTGAGAATATAAGATGAAATCATTCCACAGAAGAATTACTTATATTCAGAGTTATTTATGTGTAACAGTACTCCATAAATTCCCTTTGAGGGCCTTGTTCCATTCAGCAAGAAGAATGTCTTGATGGTAGGCAAAATTGTACGTAAGTTAAAAGTATGAAATTTGAATCAAGCTCTGCCATTGAATTGTCACGTGAACCTGGAACAACATAACCTCTCCCTGCCTTAGTTTCTCTATTTATATAATGGTAAGTATAATAAAAGTATACTTCAAGGGCTTTTGCAAGCACTATATGAACCAATAGATCTAACACATTTAGAACGGTAACTTGATATTTTAGGCACCTTGTAAGTTATTGTTATTATCTGCAATTGTATCTACCCAAAAGCTAGAATCCCTCTTCTTGGCCCCCAAATTCCTATGACATGTCTATAAATATCTTCTAAATATATTTATTCATTTTATGCATGCATTTACTTGTATTCTGAATGCCTTTACATGTGCCAGGCATTGTCTAGGTGTTGGAGAAACTAAGACTGACTTGAAGGAGATATTTACTTAAAAGAAATAGCTGTAATGGGTATAATTTGCAGAGGGGGAGAACCCTGTGAAAAAGAGAGTAATTAGAAAACTTCATTTTGAATATAAAGAGAAAAAACTTTTCTGAGTTCATGAAAGAATTATTGATATCATCAACAATAAAGAGCATATGCTAATATTTATATTTCCTAACTATTCTACATACCTATATTTATATAGATTTCAGCTAACAACTGGGCCTCAGTTCTACTATGACATATTGCTAAAAGCATTGATTATATAAGTTCATATTATATGCAGTGTTTGCATGAGATAAAACTTTAAGACAAAAAAATCTGCTCCAAAAAGTGCCTTGGTCTTCGTAGCTTATTCAAGACATTTATTTTATATTCTGCAGACTGTGGAACATCTGTTTATTAATGCAGCTTTATGATATGTTGTAAATTGCCTTAACAGAAAATATGAAATTGCACATTCGAGCCCAGATTTTCTTTTCATCCTCTTGTGTTCAGCTTGGCAAAAGGCTGATACTGCCAGAAAAAGAAAGAAAACTTTGTTCAAAATTGAAGTTAATACTTTCTTGGAGAAATAACTACTAACTAAAGACAAATACTTGATGAGACTATTTTAATGTATCTATTGTCCTTATTATGTAGGATATAATTTCTTACTTTAACATATGATGATTTTATTTCAAAGCCATTTTGACTGAATGACTTTCAAGGTTATTTTGCAAATCATAATAATTTAAATACTTAAGGAAGCTAGTCAAAAATTTGAAATTAATTGATGGTAAGTTTGATTAATTCTGAGACTTTTAGCTGTATTATTTATCACACGGAAGAGAAGATCATTTCTATATAGCAAACAAAAATGCGTTCCGAGCCATATGTAATAGTCCATCACACAAAATGTTGAGTTAATGCCAGTCAGAATGTCTCTCTTTTTCAAGTACTGGGATAACAAAATAATGGCAAGACCCAAAATCGTGTGTGCGGTGATGCACTAAAATACCTTGAATAATAACAGATGGGGCCGGACGCGGTGGCTCACGCCTGTAATCCCAACACTTTGAGAGGCCGAGACGGGCAGATCACGAACAATGCCTGGCCCCACACTGGAGGGCACAGTGAACCAGGTTCCACTGGCCAAGAGTCACTCGTGTAGGTGTCTCTGAGCTAGGAGATGTGTACTAATTCCTAACAGGCAAGAGTTTAGGCCGGCATTGGCCATCAGAGAGGATGAGAGAAAAAATTTGTCTTATTTATGGAGCTAGCATAAGAGGAAGCTAGAGCTTTACTAAATGTGAAAATTTAAGTTGATGTATATTCTACATCCTGAACACCCAGTGACAAACTGATGTTCCAATATCTGTTTATACAACGTGTGTGTTATCATTACACTGGCAAAATGGATGATATGTTTGCCTTATTTCAAATCACTAAGTTTTGTATTATGGTGATATACTCATACTGCTTTCTTATCAACTCAGAAATCCATTATACAAAATCCACTTTTTATGGCCATCTAAATCCTTTATTCAGTACCATCAGCCTGGGACATGTTAATATATTTCTGCTAGACATACCACCCAGACTTGAAATGCATAGGACACTAAGCACATAGTGGTAGCAGCATGTTTTCCTTTAATAAAAAGACATTATTTTGGGAGGCAGTTTTACATTTACAAGAAAATTGAGCAGACAATACAGAGAGTTCCTTAAACCCTCCTTAGCTCATCATGCCTATTATTAAGATATCTTGCATTCGTCTGGTGTATTTGTTACAATTAATGAGCCAATATTGATACATTATTATTATTAACTAAAATTAACAGTTTCATTAAGGTGCACTGTTTGTGTTGTATATTCTATGGGTTTGGAAAATGTGTAATGTCATATATCCACCATGACATTTTACAGAATGGTTTCACTGCCTTAAAAGTCCCCTGTGCTCCACCTATTGATCCCTCCTTCTCCCTGCAAATCCCTGGCAACAACTGTACTTTTCATTGTCTTCATCGTTCTGCCTTTTAAAGAATGTCATATAGTTCGGCTTACACAGTATGTAGTCTTTTCAGATCGGCTTCTTTCACTTAGCGATGGGCTTTTAAGGTTTTTTTTTTTTTTTTCCATGTCTTCTCATAGTTAAATAGTGTGTACCTTTTTATCACTTAATAACATTCTATTGTATGAGTGTACCAGAGTTTGTTTATCCATTCACTTACTGAAGTTGCTTCCACCTTTGGGCAATTATGAATAAAACTCCTATAAACATCAATGTGCAGATTTTTGTGTTGACCTCAGTTTTCCATGCCTGTGGTTAAATGCCAAGACACAATTACTGGATCTTATAGTGACAGTATACTTAGTTTTGTGAGAAACCACTTCCCTTCCAAAGTGGCTGTATGGGGTTGTATGGGAAATATTTGAATTAACATCCAAATCACACAATCTTTTTGTTACACTTTAAGCATTAAGAGATTTGTTGTCATAGTTACCTTGGGAGTTAGTGGCTTCTGAGGAGTTGACAAGGGCTCTTGGTAATGTGGTGCATATTAACGTTAACAGGTTATATTAATGAATAAACAATGCATGAACTATGAAATGTAAGACCATGCAGAGTATATTATTAATAAATAAATAATGATTCTGTACTACGTATTTATCTTTTGACAGAGAGGTGCACAACAAAAACAAATGTTGATATTCTTGAAAATTTTCAAGTCAAGTCTCAACAATTAAATATAAATTTTGTCTTTCCATGTAAGTGATAGACTAATGAATCTACAGATTTGTAAGTTTATAAGCCGAAGTGAATGAGTGCCTCCTTCTGAAAATTATTATTGGGCTTATGAGTTTATAAGCGCATGCATTTCACCCTGGTTGGCCTAAGCTGGCAATTTCCTCCAAGTGGGCATATTAGGAATACCAAATGTCACGAACAGACTGCAAAGAGAGAGAGGAAGGGAACATTTAGCTTCTGACAGCTGAACACAAGAAAAGGGTCCAACCAAGTTTCCTGGGAAAGCTGGAGGTTACAAACATCAGATGACCAATACCTAACTTCTCTTGTTTATTTTAATTCTTCTGTTTTAATAGATAATATTTCATTTTGACATTTTAAGGAACATTTCTGTGTCTCTGTTCTGGCCCCTGATGTTACCTTTGGAGACTAGGGGGAAGAGAGAGGGAGTAATTAATATATTTATAAGAACATATTTTTGAGTAAGAAGAATATGCATGAGTTAATATTTATTAATATATTTTTATTAATCCAAATATATTCACAAGAAATTATTTATATTTAAGAATATACTCAATAACATATATGTAAAATATGTTATTCAGGAGTGCGTTCTTAATTCACATGTTCTTTGTGCCACATGTGTCCACTGATCTCTGTGGAAGATTCATAAAAACGATATGTAAGGTATCCGAACTGCTGAAAACCACAGACAATGAGAAAAATCTCGAAGGCAGCTAGAGGAAAAATTAAGCATTTACATCAAGCATTTATCAATGAGAAGAATATATTCATCGGAAGAATTGTATTAGTCCGTTCTCACGCTGCTAATAAAGGCATACCCGAGACTGGGTAATTTGTAAAAGGGAGGTTTAATTGACTCACAGTTCAGCATGGCTGGGGAGGCCTCAGGAAACTTAAAATCATGGCAGAAGGGGAAGCAAACATGTCCTCCTTCACATGATGGCAGAAAGGAGAAGTGCTGAGCAAACGGGGGAAAAGCCCCTTATAAAACCATCAGTTCTCGTGAGAACTCACTCACTATTATGAGAACAGCAGCATGGAAGTAACCGCCCCCATGATTCAATTACCTCCCACTGGGTCCTTCCCACAACACATGGGGATTATGGGAACTACAAGTTAAGATGAGATTTGGGTGGGGACACAGCCAAATCATATCAAGAATATATTTTAAAAATAAATCATTTTATTCAAGAATAAACTCATATAAATATGTTTATCTTTTGCACCATCAGTTTTTCCTTTTTTCTTTTAGCTTCCATCTGTCAAAGCAGAAAGCCAGGTCAGAGATAGACCAGCCATCCCTTCACATTTGCTGAGACTATGACACAAGAAAATTAGTAAACCTTAAATAGTTAGCAGAAACAAATTTAACAAAATAGTCATCAGTAAATTGGCCACTCAGCAAAGTGGCTTTGTCAGTGGACCTGGTCGAGAGAGCTAAGACCTGCTGCCACAGAAACTGCCTTGGTCAGGTGAAACAACCCCACAGCAGTAAGTGTAGGTAGAAAATCAGGACTGAAGCAATTACACATGTTGTCATTGACCTTTCCATCTGCAGGGGATAATGCAGTGAAACCCTGCCACCTTTCCACAGGCTAACTCTCAGAGGAATAAAAAAAAAGTCATGTGCAGGTTGATTTGGGCTAACGAATGATCTTTCATCATTCAACTTTTGATGTTCAAAAGTATGCTATTATATTTGTGCACATGTGAAATGAAAGAGAAAGGAGCTTGGACACATGAAAACCAAGGAAAGAAAAACCTAATTTGTTTTACTAATAAAGAATAACAGAAAAAAGGGTAATACCAATTTCACTTGCTTCTATGTCTCTTTTCTATGCCCTCAGGAAGTACAATTTACCACTTTGGGAAGCTTAGGAGGGAGCATCGCTTAAGACCAGGAGTTCAAGACCAGCCTGGGCATCATATAGATGTCTCTTCTAAAAGCACTACTAATACAATAAAATGTATTCTCGTTGAAAATTACATCTGCAGAGAATAAAACAGGAAAAATCTGCTGTCTTTTCACACTCAATTGTTTATCTTCTGATCTGATTCATCTTGCCATTGTATGTTGCATATAAGTTGTAATAAACTAAAATTTAACATATTGTGGTATATATACACCGTGGAATAGTAGAATACTATGCAACTATAAAAAAGAATGAGATCATGTCCTTTTCAGGAACATGATGAAGCTGGAGGCCATTATCCTTAGCAAACTAACAGAGGAACTGAAAACAAAATACCGCATCTTCTCACCTACAAGTGGGAGTTAAATGATGAGAACACATGGATACATAGAGGGGAAAGACACACACTGGGGCCTACCTGAGATTGGAGGGTGGGAGGAGGGAAAGGGGTACAAAAAATAACAATTGGTTACTAGGCTTAATACCTGAGTGATGACATAATCTGTACAACAAACCCCTATGACACGCGTTTACCTATATAACAAACCTGCCCATGTAACCCAAACTTAAAATAAAGTTTAACATATAAATATATATATAGTGGCATTTTGGACAGACATTTACATATAGAGATGCATGAATACATAGATCAATAGATGTATGTATTCACGGGTTATTAGGAATGCAAATATGCATTTAAAAATAGGGTTTCCAGCACTTTGGGAGGCCGAGGCAGGAAGATCACGAGATCAGGAGATCGAGACCATCCTGGCTAACACAGTGAAACCCTGTATCTATAAAAATACACACAAAAAATAGCCAGGCATGGTGGTGGGCACTTGTAGTCCCAGCTACTCAGGAGGCTGAGGTAGGAGAACTGCTTGAACCTGGGAGGCGGAGGTTGCAGTGAGCTGAGATCATGCCACTGCACTCCAGCCTGGCTGGCAGAGTGAGACTCCATCTCAAAAAAAAAAAAAAAAAAGGATTTCTGGGCATTTTTGGTTGTCGTTTTGTCTGTTTTGTTTTTATCTATTGACACTAGCAGGAAGGCTTACTTTTTTATAGTAGGTATATATTTCAAACCATAGTCTTAGGTCTTGTGACATAGTTAAAGGAAACATCATAGAAGAGCTCAGAGATGTAAAATAGAGCCATTTATGATGGTTTTGAGAACCTGTAACGATACATATATGTTAATTTCATTTAGGTTTTCTGCGTTTGGAACTGTGTACAGGTAAGATGCTGTAAGCTACCATATAGCAAAATTTAAATGAAAATTACCATTACACTTATTTAGCTCCAAATAATTTAATAACTATTACTGGGTTGTTACTAGAAAGAAAAACAGCTCACTGTAATAGTTAACGAAGCAAAGCAGTCCCAATCAAATCTTGCATTGCTCTGACACGTGTTTTGCTAAAGGAGAGGGAGAGGCATTTTGTTGTATTTCCAGCTGGCTTCCTGGGGAAACAGAACACATTTGGAGAATGTGTTCCCCTTTGTTAATTGTGACAAATGTGTCCAGTGACCCCCGATGAAGAACTCTTAAAATGATATGGAATGTGTTCAAATTGCTGAAAACCAGAGACAAAGAGAAATCAACACAAAAACTGAAAATCTCTCATTTTTCTCAAAAGAGAAACATCTTGAGGAAGCTAGAGGAAAAAAGGCATTATCAAACAAGAAACAAGGTTAAGAATGGGAGCTGACTTCATATCAGAAACCATGCAAGCAAGAAACGAAGTGACACTTTTGAAGTCATAAAAGAATTTTTAAAAACCTATCAATCCAGAATTCTATAACCATTGAAAAATTCTTTAAATATTTGTTAATTACTCTGGTGTCTTTGAATTAAGGTGAAGTTGAATTCCCCTCATGTGGCTTGCAAGTTAGTCTTGTTTTTGTGGTTTGGGTTTTCGTTTTTGAGATAAGGTCTTCCTCTGTCATCCAGGCCGAAGTGCATTGGCACAATCACAGCTCACTGCAACCCCAACATCCCAGACTCAAGTGATCCTCCCACCTCAGCCTCCCACATTGCTGAGACTACAGGTGCACTCCACCACACCTGGCTAATTTTTGTAACTTTTGTAAAGATGGGGTTTCACCATGTTGCCCAGGCTGGTTTTGAACTTCTGGGCTCAAGCAATCTGCCCACCTTGGTCTCTCAAAGTCCTGGAATTACAGACATGAGCCACTGTGCCCAGTCTTGCAGGTTGGTCTTAATGACTGACTTTTAAGAAATGGAATATGGAAAAGTAAAAACTGTAGTTTTGTAGTGGAAGAAACCATCAAGTCACCAACACAGCCAAGTAATCAAGGTTAACATCAACAATGAAAAGTCATATGGCTACCTCACACCACCGTGACACAATGGGAAGGTCACTTCAGCTATGTGAAATTCTTCCTCAAAATTTACAACCCCACTTTAATCAAGAGAAAACATCAGATGAACTCAAATCATTTGATGCACATTCTAAAAAAATATCTGGTCAGTGGTCTTCAAGGTGTCAAAGCCAGGAAAGACAGAGAGATTGTCCCTAATTGAAGTAGACTAAGGAGACATGAAGACTAAACACAATATGAGATCCTGGATGGTACCTGGGAACAAAGAGAAGAAATTAGTTAAAAACAAAAACAAAAACAAAAACATAAACAAAAACAAACTGGTGAAATGTGGGCCGGGCACGGTGGCTCACTCCTGTAATCCCAGCACTTTGGGAGGCAAGGCAGGTGGATCACCTGAGGTCAGGAGTCTGAGACCAGCCTGGCCAGCGTGGTGAAATCCCATCTCTACTAAAAATACAAAAATTAGCCGGATGTGGTGTTGGGCACCTGTAATCCCAGCTGCTCGGGTGGCTGAGGAATGAAAATCACTTGAAACCAGGAGGTTGAGGTTACAGTGAGCCAAGATCGCACCACTGCACTCCAGCCTAGGCATTAGAGTGAGACTTCCTCTCAAAAATGAAAAACTGGTTAAATATAGCCTGTCATTTAGGTAATAGTATTGTACAATGTTAATTTCTCGTTTTTAATAAATGTGCCATGGTAACGTAAGAGGTTAACATCAGAAGAAACTAAGTGAAGAGTGTATTGGAACTGTCTTTACCATCTTTGCAACTCTATGTAAATCTAAAATTATTCCAGAGAATGACTTCACAAGGTGGCAGAATAGAATTTCTCCAGCTCCACACCCCCACACGGAAATCCAACTAGCAACTATCCACAGGCAAGAATACCTTTCTGAATATCCCAGAACTCAGGAGTGAGACTGAGACACCCAATTGTACTGCAGAACTAAGAAAAGCTGTGCTTTGAAGGGTAAGAGGAACAGTTCATTTTGAGCATGTCACCCCTCCACCAAGCTGGCACAGCACGACACACAGAGGATTTCACCAGACCCACAATTTCTACAGTGGGAAAAGAAAGTTGGAGGTGGACATTCAGCTTGCCCACCATTCTAGGACCCTTCACAGGAGGCTCATCCTTGTCTTATACCACAGGAAACATTAGGAGTGCCATCGGGGCTAGACCACCTGGAGTCAGCTAGAAACAAAGAATGGGAGTAGATCTCACAGAGACTAGCATGTAGTTAGTCTGCATTCTGGCTAATGGAGGCATCATATGAGAGAGACTAGCCAACAGCATTGTACCGCAGGAAGTACAGCTCACAGATGTACCCAGCTCGCATCCCTCGCCAGCTTTCCTACATAGACCTGGTGCTTTCTACAGCATTGCCCAGGCTAGAAGGCAAGTGAACATCAGCACTTCTCTGCAGAGGGTACATCTGGTCCCCACCCAGCACCAGCAGCTGACCAGGGACTCCACTAAGCTTTGTTTAAGCCTACCTTAGGCCAGGAGACAAGATCAAGTCCGCACATATGTGTGGGGCATAATGGCTTCTAGCCCTGATCAGCCCTGTGTAGCTGAGCAACAACACCAGAGTCTTTAGTAGACCATAGAGCTCAGCACAAAGGCCTGCTCAACTATAGATTCTAAACAACAATACCATCCAACCAGCGGAGACAGCCTACAATCCTGCTGGATCAGAGTGAACTGCAGAGTCCAGTTAGCAGTACCATTCAACCTTAGGGCTCAGGAAGTGACACAGCCCAACTAGAGAACCTGACACCAAGCTCTGCCCGTCCAGGGTCATTGCCAGCTAACACATCCAGAATCCCTTCCTACGAAGTAGTAAAGATCTGTCAAAGCCTGGAAGAGGTGGCCGTCTCCTCAAACACAGAAGCATCAATGCAAGACAGAAGTATTATGAAAAGTCAGGGAAATATGACACCACTAAAAGAAAATAATAAAGATCAGATAATAGCTCTGGAATATAAGGTGATCTATAAAATGACTGACAAAGAGTTCAGGATAACCCCCTTAAAGAAGTTCAGGGAACTCCAGTTAAATTAAATTAAGTTTGAAACCAATTCATGAACAAAATGAGAAATTGACAAAGAACTAGAGATGATAAATAGAAACCAAATAGAAATCTGAGGTATAAAGAATACAATAGTTTAACTGAAAATGTCAATGGAAAACTTTGACAGCAGACTTGATCAAGCAAAAGAAAGGATCACTGAATTCAAAGATAGGTATATTGAAATTATCCAGTCTGAAGAGCAAAAAGAAAAAGAATAAAGGAGGCCTACAGGAATTATGAGATACCATCAGGCAAACTAATATTCACATAATCGGAGATTCAGAAGAAGATAGAGAAGAAGGCCCAAAAAGGATATTTAAGAAAATGGCTGAACATTTCCCCAATCTGGGGAAAGATGACGACATCTAAATACAGGAAGCTCAAAAGTCTCCAATCAAATTCCACTCAAAAAGGAATTTACCAAGATAAAACATAATCAATTTATCAAAAATCAAAGACAAAGAAACAAAACTGAAAGCAGCAAGAGATAAGAAACATATCACATTCAAGAAACCACAATATGACTTTCAGTTGACTTCTTAGCAAAAACTCTGCAGGCCAAGAGAGATTGGGGTGATATATTCAAAGTGCTGAAGAAAAAGAACTGCCAACCAGGAATTTTTTACTTGGCAAAGTTGTCCTTAAAAAATAAGAGAGAATTGGCTGGGCAGGGTGGTTCACGCCTGTAATCCCAGCACTTTGGGAGGCCTAGGTGGGCAGATCACGAGGTGAGGAGATCAAGACCATTCTGGCCAACACGGTGAAACCCCATCTCTACTAAAAATACAAAAATTAGCTGGGTGTGGTGGCGTGCACCTGTATTCCCAGCTACTTGGGAGCCTGAGGCAGGAGAATCACTTGAACTTGGGAGGGAGAGGTTGCAGTGAGCCAAGATTGCAGCAGCAGAGCAAGACTCCATCTCAAAAAAAAAAAAAAAGATAAAAAAAGAAATAAGAGAGAATTCCAACTTCCCCAGACAAACAAATCCTAAGGGAGTCTATTACATTATCCCTGCTTTACAGGAATGGCTAAAGGCAGTTCTTTAAGCTGAAATGGAAGGTTTCTACTTAATAACAAAAAAAAATGCATGTAAAAATCTCAATAACTCAATGGTATTAAGTAATACATAATCAAACTCATTCTCTAACACTGTATGGGTGATACATAAAGCAATCGTATCCTTACTGTGATGATTAAAAGGAAAAACTATTAAAATCAACTGTAGCTGCAATTGTTAAGGAATACAAATTACAAAAACAAATTAAAAATTTTACATCAAAATTATAAAAGGGGGGAGTGAGAGTATGAGATTAAAGTTCAATTATTATCAGCTTAATGTAGCGTGTTATAAAGCTCAGATATTTTATGTAAGCCTCATGGTAACCACAAAGCAAAAAGAAAACAACAAGAGAGAAATAAAGAAACAGGGACTTACAAAAAATTCAGAAAATGAATGACAAAACAGCAGTAGCAAGTGCTTACCTATCAGTAATTACTTTGAATGTAAACAGATTAAATTCTCCAACCAAGAGACTCAGGACAGCTGAATAAATTTTCTTTTTAAAGAACCATATGCTGCCTACAAGAGACTCTCTCTACTAGTGAGGACACATACAGACTGAAACTGAAGGTATGGAAAAAGATACTCATTGCAAATAGACACCAACAGAGACCAGGAGTATCTATATTTATATCAATCAAAATCGTCTTTAAATCAAAAACTGTAAAAAGAGATAAAGAAGGTCATTAAATAATGAGAAAGGGGTCAGTTCACCAAGAGGACATAACAGTTGTAATTATATATGCACCCAACATCAGAGCACCTAAATACGTAAAGCAATTATTAAATGACATGAAGGGATAAATAAATGGCAATACTACAATATTATGGAACCTCAACACCGCTCTTTCAAAAATGTCCATACAACCCAAAATGATCTACAGTGTCAATGTAATCTCTCTCAAAATTCCAATGTCATTTTTCACAGCAATATAAAATATCCTTAAATTTATGTGGAATTACAAAAGACCCTAAAGAGTCAAAACGATCTTGGGCAAAAGGAAAAAAGCTGGTGTCATTACACTCCCTAATTTCAAAAATCTTATGAAGTTATTGTAATGAAAATAGCATGACACTGGCATAAAAATAAGCTGACTGATGAAACAGGATAGAAAGCCCAGAAATCAACCCATGCATGTATGATCAATTGATTTTTGACCAAGGTGCCAAGAACACACAATGGGGAAAGGACAATATCTTCAAAAAATAGTGTGGGGAAAACTAGCTATCCACATGAAGGAGAATGAAATCAGATCCATATTTTATACCACATACAAAAATCAACCCAAATGGATTAAAAATCTAAACATAATATCTGAAACTGTGAAACTACTAAAAGAAAACAGAGAAAAATCCCCACAACATTGGCTGGGGCAATGATTATTTGGATATGACCCCAAAAGCACAGGCAACAGAAGCAAAAAGCAAAAAGAGAGAAATAAAATGGCATCAAACTAAAAAGCTTCTTCACAGCAAACCTTTAAAGTGAAGGGACAGCCCACAGAACGGGAAAAAATATTTGCAAACTATACAGCTAATAAAGGGTCAATATCCAAAACATAAGAAACTCAAACAACACAAATACCATCAGTCTAAGTTGGTGAGCCCTTTCAAACTGCAGCTCACTTTATTTATTTATCTATTTTTTTTGAGACGGAGTCTCGCTCTGTGGCCCAGGCTGGAGTGCAGTGGCGTGATCTTGGCTCACTGCAAGCTCCGCCTCCCAGGTTCACGCCGTTCTCTTGCTTCTGCCTCCAGAGTAGCTGGGACTACAGGTGCCCGCCACCACACCCGACTAATTTTTTGTGTTTTTAGTAGAGACGGGGTTTCACCGTGTTAGCCAGGATGGTGTCCATCTCCTGACCTTGTGATCTGCCCGTCTCGGCCTCTGAAAGTGCTGGGATTACAGGCGTGAGCAACTGCACCAGGCCTTTTTTTTTTTTTTACTTTAAGTTGTGGCGTACGTGTGTAGAAAGTGCAGGTTTGTTACATAGGTATACATGTTCCATGGTGGTTTGCTGCACCTATCAACCCGTCATCTAGATTTTTTTTTTTCTCTGAGACGGAGTCTCGCACTGTCATCCAGGCTGGGGTGCAGTGGCGCGATCTTGGCTCACTGCAAGCTCTGCCTCCCAGGTTCACGCCGTTCTCTTGCTTCTGCCTCCAGAGTAGCTGGGACTACAGGTGCCCGCCACCACGCCCGACTAATTTTTTGTATTTTTAGTAGAGACGGGGTTTCACTGTGTTAGCCAGGATGGTCTCGATCTCCTGACCTCGTGATCCGCCCGCCTCGGCCTCC
Organism: Homo sapiens; assembly: GCF_000001405.40. NCBI lineage: Eukaryota > Metazoa > Chordata > Mammalia > Primates > Hominidae > Homo > Homo sapiens. The sequence goes on along the minus strand of NC_000009.12, from coordinate 66,610,918 downwards.
CAAAGTGCTGGGATGACAGGCAGGAGCCCCCGCGCCCGGCCCCATCATCTAGGTTGTAAGCCCCACAGGCATTAGGTATTTCTCCTAATACCCCCTCCCCTTGCCCCCCAACCCCGTAACAGGCCCCAGTGTGTGATATTCCCCTCCCTGTGTCCATGTGTTCTCATTGTTCAGCTCCCACTTAGGAGTGAGAACACGCAGTGTTTGATTTTGTGTTCCTGTGTGAGTTTGCTGAGAATGATGACTTCCAGATTCATCCATGTCCCTGCAAAGAACATGAACTCATTCTTTTTTATGGCTACATAGTATTCCACTGTGTATATGTCCCACATTTTCTTTATCCAGTCTATCATTGGTGGGCATTTGGGTTGGTTCCAAGTCTTTGCTATTGTAAATAGTGTTGCAATAAACATACATGTGTATGTGTCTTTAGAGTAGAATGATTTATAATCCCTTGGGTATATACCCAGTAATGGGAATGTGCAGCTCACATTTTTAATTTGCTCAGAGTTTTCTTCTCTTTGGATGCATAGTCATTGTCTCTGCTTCTTTTTCTTTTTCAGAATTTTCAGATTTGTGTAAATTTCCTCTATCGATTGCCACGTCACTTTCATTTTCCATCCCAACTTTGTCTCTTAGTATTTTTGCTCTGAGACTTGAAATGGTCCATCTTTTCCTTTGCCGGTCTCCAAGCCCTCCTCTAGCCCTGAGGTAGGAAAGCCCACAATAGCTCTCCTACCACTCTCAGGCCTTCATCTGCCTGCTGACGGTCCAAAAACGTCTTGCTTCAGGAGCACAGGTTGGAGTTGGAAGTGAAATTAGAGGCAAATTAGAAGATTGTAAACTATTATTTCCCCAGAACCGCACAGAATCGGCAGCTACATTAAATTTCTTACCCACAGAGCTGATTTTAGAAATACGTAACTGCAGACATTTTTAATGGTGACTGTCCCGTTAAAAGGTAATAGGAATGCATGTTTCCCCATTAAAGGACTTGCCTTGTTCCATTAAAAGGTAATGGGGATGCACGTGTGTGTGTGTACATGTGTGTGTGTTATTATCCACCAAAAAGCAGCAAAAGTTTTTTATATATTTTAAAGAAAATAATAGGAGAAGGGTTTTGTCATGCTATACTTAGAATTCTGAACATCATAACTTTTATTACAATGTATGTTTTAAGGTTAAAAAACAGTATTATTTAATGTGGTAAACCTTGGTAAATGACATTCTATTTATAATATATATTTTATATTCATAATTATGTTATACTCTTATATGCAATATTCAACACTAATATAATTTGTTTTATGGTACACCTGGCACGTAATTCTCTCATATCTTGGAGGTGATTCACATAAATTTTTCTAATTCTGTCCTGACTAGTCTTCCTATTAACTGTTTAAAGAACTTTATACTCCACTATGGAAATCCGTCTTTTTAATAAATAAATGTGCTTTATGTAGTATTTCCATAAATAGTTTTAAATTACACCTGGACCATGACTGATACAGAAATATGTACATACACACATATCTATATCTATATTTATATGTATAAACATATGTACACATATCTATATAGAGAAATGTATTTCTATCTGTCTTTCCTATTGGATGTCTTGAAACTCCATCTTTGGGTTCCTTTCTTTTAACTTAAAACCTATTTTTCCTACTAAAATGTAATGAAAAAAATAAAACCAACTGGGAGAACTAATAGTTGGCATTTTCTTACTAATTTATGCCTCAGTGGGACAATATTTTATCAACTCTTAGCATGGAAAAACAAATACACTTTGGTTTTGACAGAAAAAAAGGAGAAAAAACATTAAGCATCTCAGGCAAGAAAGGGATGGGAAAAGCGTGATTTGGGTGAAGCTTAGTAGTGAAGTAAATGTCACATGGTAGCCTAAGAAGCTGAGGACAATTTTCACTTGCATGACAATTTTTAGTAGAGTTGTTTAGTAACTTTAAAAACAGATTTAATACATTTTTTCTCTTAAAAAATCTACAGCAAGAAATCCAGAAGCCAATAAAATTTCTATCATTTCAATCCAGAATTCTTTCAATTGTTTCAGGTTATGGAGGCATTGGCCCATAAAATATTTTGCCCGATAATGTTTTCCAAAAAGGGAAATCTTTTCTGCTCTCATCAACAACAAAATGTCTGGAAGAAAAAAGAAATATTAAGGAATAAAAATTTGGCTGAAGAGCCTCTCTACTTAAAGGAATGAAAGGTGTTTCAAAAAGTTACTAACAATAAGCACAAAAACAATTAAACATTAAATGTAGAAACAATTAAAAGAAATATTTCATGATTTTCTGTAGCTCTTATTGGCAATCAAAAACCAGAAAACAAAAGCAGCAGGGGGGAATGCAAGAATAAATGAAGTGCAGAGAAAGGGCAAACATGAGTAAATAGTAGTGAAAGCTTTTTAAAACTACAATAATAATAATATCTTGTAGAAATATAAAATGCAATAAAAAAGTGTATTACAACAATGGCACAAGGGTGAGAGATACACAAATACATGGAAGTAAACTTGTAAGGATCTTGCATTCTTTGGGAAGTGGCCAAAGTAATAATAAGAGAACATATTGTGATCTTGAGGGAAATGACTAAAAGTTTCATTACAGCTGCAAAGCTAATACAGGAGATTCATAGCCAACAATTGGAAATTACCCAAAAATTCATCAATAAAAGAATGGATAAACAAATCCATTGTATGAATTCCATTCATATAATGGAAGAGTACATAACAGTGGAAAGGAATGAACTAAAAATATCAACCAAAAATTGGAGGAATATCAAAACATTTTGCTAAGGGAAATGAGCAAGACACAAGGTGACATACTGTATGATTCCATTTATATGTTCAAGAAGAGGCAAAACTAATCAATGGTGATAAGAGATTGTTTTGGAAAGGACACAGGAAACTTCCTAGGTAATGGAAATGTTCTATATGTTGATCTGAATGCGGGTAAAGAGAGAGAAGGAGGAAGACAGAAAGAGAGAGTCATTGAATAATACTGAAGTTCTGAGCTAAGAGTCCTTAATGGATATACAAATATTAAAAGGAGCCTTCTTAAATTGTACCACACACTTTAACCTGGATTCATAAAGCATCAAAGGTAGAAGGGATATAGAGGGATCATTTATTCCAATCTCCTCAATTTTACAGATGAATAAACAGACACAGAAGAATAGTTGCTGTATTAGTCCGTTCTCACACTTCTATAAAGGACTGCCCGAGACTGGGGAATTTTTCTTTTTTTTGAGATGGAGTCTCATTCTGTAGCCAGGCTGGAGAGCAGTGGCACAGTCTTGGCTCACTGCAACCTCTGCCTTCCGGGTTCAAGTAATTCTCCTGCCTCAGCCTCCTGAGTAGCTGGGAGTGCAGGCACATGCCAACACACCCAGCTAATTTTTGTATTTTTAGTAGACACAGGTTTTCACCATGTTGGCCAGGATGGTCTCAATCTCTTGACCTCATGATCCACCCACCTTAGCCTCCCAAAGTGCTGGGAGTACAGGCATGAGCCACTGCGCCCAGTGAGACTGGGTAATTTATGAAGAAAAGAGGTTTAATTGACTCACAGTTCCACAGGCTGTACAGGAAGCATAACTAGGAAGCCTCAGGAAACTTAACAATCATGGTAGAAGGTGAAGGGGAAGCAAGCATGTCTTACCATAGCAGAGCAGGAGAGAAAGAGTGAAGGGGGAAGTGCCACACATTTTTAAAACATCAGGTCTCATGATAACTCACTCATTATCATGAGAACAGCAAGGGGGAATCTGCTCCCATGATCTAATCAGCTCCCACCAGGTCCCAATTCAACATGAGATTTGGGTGGCAACACATAGCCAAACCATATTATGCCACCACTAGTCCCTGCCAAATCTCATGTCCTTCTCACATTTCAAAACACAAGCATGCCTTCCCAAAAGTCCTCCAAAGTCTTAACTCCTTCCAGTATTAACTCAAAAGTCCAAGTCCAAAGTGTCATCTGGAACAAGGCAAGTCCTTTCCACCTATGAGCCTATAAAACCGAAAACAAATTACGTACTTCCAAGATCCAATAAGGGTACAGTCATTGTGTAAATGCTCCCATTCCAAATGAGAGAAATTGGCCAAAACAAAAGGGCTACACGTCCCATGCTAGTCTGAAATCCAGCAGGGGAGTCATTATATTTTAAAGCTTCAAAATAATCTCCTTTGACTTTGTCTCACATCCAGGATACACTAATGCACTGGGTGGCCTCCCAAGGCCTTGGAAAGTTCTGCCCCTGTAGCTTTGCAGCATACAGCCCCCATGGCTGCTTTCACAGGCTGGAATTGAGTGACTGTGGCTTTTCCAAGCACATGGTGCAAACTGTCAGCAGATCTACCATTCTGGGATCTGGAGGACAGTGGCCCTCTTCTCATAGCTTCACTAGGCAGTGCCACAGTGGGGACTCTGTGTGGGGCCTCCAACCCCACATTTCCCTCCTGCACTGCCCTAGTAGATGATCTCTATGAGGTCTCCACCCCTGCAGCAGACTTCTCCCTGGACATCCACACATCCTCTTAAACCTAGGTAGAGGCTCCCAAACCTCAACTCTTGCCTTCTGCACACCTGCAGGCCCAACACAATGTGGAAGTCACCAAGGCTTGGGGCTTACACCCTCTGAAGCAATGGACAAGCTGTATCTTGCCCCTTTTAGCCAATGCTGCAGCTGAAGTCTCCATGATGCAGGGTGCCATGTCCCTAGGCTGCACAGAGCAGTGGGTCCCTGAGCCTGGCCCATAAAACCATTTTTGCCTCCAGGCCTGTGATGGGAGGGGTTGCCTTGAAGTTCTCTGAAATATCTCAGAGGCATTTTCCCCCTTGTCTTGGCTATTAACATTCGGCTCCTCTTTACTTATGCAAATGTATGCAGCCTTCTTGAGTTACTCCCGAGAAGATGGGTTTTCTTTTCTACCACACGGCCAGGCTGCAAATTTTCTGAACTTTTATGCTCTGCTTCCCTTTTAAATGTAAGTCCCAGTTGCAGGTCATTTCTTTGTTTATGCAAATAAGCATAGGCTTTTAGAAGCAGCCAGACCACCTCTTGAATGCTTTGCTGCTTAGAAATTTCTTCCAACAGATACCCTAAACCACCTCTCTCAAGTTCAAAGTTCCATAGATCCCTAGAGCAGGGGCACAATGCCATCAGTCTCTTTGCTAAAGCATAACAACAGTGACCTTTACTCCAGTTCCCAATAAGTTCCTCATCTCTATCTGAGATCACTTCAGCCTGGACTTCACTGTCCGTATCACTATCAGCATTTTGGTCACAACCATGCAGCAAGTCTCTAGGAAGTTCCAAACTTTCCCTTATCTTCCTGTCTTCTTCTGATCCCTGCAAACTGTTTCAACCTCTGCCTGCTACCCGGTTCCAAAGTCACTTCCACATTTTCAGGTATCTTTACTGCAATGTCCCACTTCTCTGCTACCAATTTTCTGTATTAGTTTATTGCTATAAAGAACTACCTGAGACTGGGTAATTTATTTTTAAAAAGAGGCTTAATTGACTCTCAGTTCCATACGCTGTGCAGGAGGCATGGCTGGGGAGGCCTCAGGAAACTTACAATCATGGCATAAAGTGAAGAGGAAGCAAGCACATATTCACTTGGCCAGCAGGACAGAGAGTGAAGGGGGTGGTGCTACACACTTTTAAACAACTAGATCTTGAGAGAACCCATTATCACAAGAACAGCAAGGGGGAAATCTTCCCCCAGGATCCAGTTACCTCCCACCAGTTCCCTCCCACAACAGTGGGGATTACAATTCAACGTGAGATTTGGGTGGGGACACAGAGAAGCGCCAAACCATATCAGATGCCTTGTCACAGTCTATCATGCAACTTGTAAATGGAAGAGCCAGTGCTAGGATCCAGTTATCTTGTATCCACTGCAGCACTTGCTCAGAACCACTTTTTATGAAAAATTCAAATTCCATAAGAATTAAATGAAGGCAGAAGACAAATAATATAGCATTCTAAAATTAATTCATACAGTTCATAAGTCAGAAGACAAATAATATAGCATTCTAAAATTAATTCATACAGTTCTTTTATTCCAAACTTAATCTTAGTTGTCTCATTAAATGAAAGTTTCTGGGTTGACCACTGATGAAGACATAGACAGAAGCTATGAATTTTACAAATACTTTGATCACATTTTTTCCTGCCTGAATTATTAGAAGAATAACACGTTTCAGTGTGCTTGATTGCTAAGTGAGACAGATAAGTGTAAGATTATTTTTCAAGCAATATACTTGCTCATCTTTCAGGAAGCACTTTACTCACGATTACATGTGCACTTAGATAAAAGTACAGTTTTTATCTTGATTGTCACTCATGATGTAATTATTCATAAACTTAAGAAAAGAAGTTTCTTTCAGCATGACAAATGGTTCTCATGCTGGTGACATGACACTTTTGATCTGTTATGTGAAGGGAAAGGTTTTTCTTCCACCTACCTAAAATTTTCCCCAATACAAGAAATTTGACAGCACTGAATTCTGTACCTGACAGGATGACTTGTCTCCTTGCATTCTGTTAACCTAACAATTTCTTCCAATAGAAGCATTCAAATGAAGAGTAACTTTGTGATAAAAAGACAGGAAGCAAAGGGAAACCAAGGAAAAAAATCATAAAATAAACCACCTGTTAGTGCTACCAAAAAGGTTAAGAGATCAATTCCAAGATTTATATACTAAGAGGAAAATATTTTTAACCAACTTATAGAATGTCATAAGCTGCCACTCCATCTGCTATCTCCTTTCCCGATTTACTTTGCTTCATAGGATATCTATAACTGGGAGGATCTACAAAGAAATACAATGCATTACTTTATACCTCAAACCTTTTAACTAAGAATAAAATATTACATGAGGCAGAGAAATGTTCTATCTATAGATTTAATATCTAAATGATTTTCTTCAAAAGCCAGCAACAGAGTAAAATTTATTTTGTGGTGACTTTTCATTATTTATCCTCATTTTAATCAAAATCAGGTTGTTTTTCTTGTTCTAAATTGCTATTATATATAGCATTTGTGGTTTGACAATTCAATGAAAATTGGTTTTCACCGAAATATCAATTCAAAGTTTCTACCAGTAGTATCCAGCGATAAAATCGACTGTTTCCTTATGAACTAAAAGCAAAACTTGACATCTAAGTAATCAAATGTTAATAATAGCTTGGATAGATTCTCATTGTTAAACAAAAGCAAAGCAAAGAACAAAAGCAAAACCAAACAAAATGCTGTAATTATATTTGACTTCACTTCTTACTTATACATACATATATATATATATATATATATATATGTATATCATTGGTTGGGCATTGTTTCCCAGTCATTTATTATCAAATGTTTGTGTAAACTCATTGATGCTAGCAAGTCATAATTTTAATTATTGCATTATCTCTACAATTTCTTCTTTCATGTTCATTTTAAAATGGTGAAACTGCTATCAGCTAAGTTTTTTAAATCAAAGTAAAAGGAATCTGAATCTTGATGTCAGTCTAGCCTGTACCTGACCTGCAAACTCCCTAAAAAGGAAAAAAAAAAACTGTATTTAAAACTTCTCATGTAGAGTCAAGGATCTTTTTAAGTCCCCCTTCCTGGAATATTGATTACTTAAGTGCTTTTCCAGAATCTCTGAGCTCAGTTACAGTCAGCCCTTCCTATCCCTAGGTTCTACATCCATGGATTCATCCAGTCATGGATAAAATATCTTCAAAAATTAAAAATAACACAAATTTTAAAACAGTATGTAAAACAACGATTTATATAGTGTTTACATTGCATTGGGAATTATAAGTAACCCAGAGATTATTTAAAGAGAGAGTGTATGTGTGGGTTACATGCAAATACTTCATCATTTACATAAGGAACTCAAGCATCCATGGGTTTTGGTTCCCCAGGGAGTCCTGGAACCAATGCGCCACCAATACTGTGTTAAGTATCAAGACAAATGGATTAATGATAAGCTGTGTCTTCTCTACAATTCTTTCACCACGTTTTCCCTTTAGAAAAACACTAAAGTAAGTATGAAAAGCTTTGGCTCTAATTTCTCATAAATTACTTATAATTTGATATTTACAAAATAATTATGAATTATAAGTTGATATCGTATTGCAATAACATTTTGTTTCTATAATCATGCCTCTTTTTAATGTGATTTTCTCGTGTATTTTAATATATTGCAGAAATGCAATAACTGAAGAACTTGTTTTTTGTACAGTGAGAAATTTGTATACAAAGTCTTCTACCATAATAAAAAAAATGAAGAGGAGCACCAAAACAAGTAATTTGCCAAGAGTCAGTTTTCCTTGGATTCGTATATTCCAATTCCCCTGCCACCACCCCACACAGACATGTTCACATTTGCCACCACTCTCTCACTGCCTGCAATGAGATCTAGTTAGCCAGAGTTGTTTTTCAGGCTTTTTCAGATATTATGTTCATGTTTTGACTTGCCATGTAGCATAGTTAAGGAGGCCTGGCTTTGTTTTCCTACTGTGAAAGGTTTGGAGAGTTTGATGTCCCACTGGGCTGAATGAATGACAGTCAATTCAACTTTCTTCCTCACGTAGGTATGCATAAGTGACTTCTCAACTATTAGAAAGTTACTTTAAAGTAGGATTCACTTGAGTAATAACCACCTTAATATTTCTCTTCTTCTCTTAAAAGGAAGAGAAACATTTGCCATATAAAATACTGTATATCTTATTCCAATATGTGGCAAATTTGATTTTTATTATTCATATGCAATACTAAAGACCCTCAGCAACATTTCAAATCAGAGTTTCACATGAAATATGTAAAATTGCCAAACTTGAACTGAAAGGCATCTTAATTTCATCATTGAAATGCTAACTTTTGCAATAAATATTTTGAATATTACTGAAAAATAAAAGAGAATGAAAGTTGGAGGGCATGTCATATTTTTATCTGTAGCTTGAACACTGCGATGATCCACCTCATTGCCATAATATTTTTATAATTTAATTTTCTCATTAACTCTCATTCACTTTAAAAAATATTTGCCATGTTGCACAAGGATAACCAAAAGATATTCCTCAGAGAAGGCACACACATAAATCAGTAAGCTTGGAGCTCATGTCTATTATGTAGTTTTGGAATTATTCCAAAGACTTGCATAGTTTGCTATGTTTTGCTGTAACAAGAACTTAGACTGTACTCCCTCCAGCCCTCAAGAATGCGGTGTCTGCCGGGAGCGGTGGCTTCTGCCTGTAATCCCAGCACTTTGGGTGCCCGAGGACGGAGGATCATGAGGTCAGGAGTTTGAGAGTAGCCAGTTCGAGACCATCCTGGCCAACATGGTAGACCCCGTCTCTACTGAAAATACAAAATTAGCCGGGTGTGGTGGCGTGCGCCTGTAATCCCAGCTACTCAGGAGGCTGAGGCAGCAGAATCACTTGAACCCAGGAGGCAGAGGTTGCAGTGAGCTGAGATCAGGCCACTGCACTCCAGCCTGGGTGACAGAGCAAGACACCGTCTCGTGGGGGGGAAAAGAATGCAATGTCAAAGCTCATCAGACCCATCATATGTGAGTTACTGACCTCAACCACTGGATTTCAAAATACATATAAACATAAGAGCTCGATGAACACTTTGAGAACTTCAGTAAGTCTCAGCCACTTCTCCAAAAATGGAGAGCATATTCTGTGACAGGATTGCCCTGCCAGTCAATTCTTGGAAGACTGAACTCATGCAGCAACAGAGCCCCACCCTGTCAGCAGCTGAGCTTTGAAGCCTCGCCTGCATCACTGGCACCACCCACTGGTGTCAAGGGACCCCAGATGTCTTTGAGGATCTCCATGGTGTCAAGACACCATCTCTCCAGAGAATTCGCTTGAAAAAAAGGTGCACCTCAAACTTTCATTCGATTTGCCTTTCCACAGAGGCCTGCTTCCATTTCTACTTCAGGAACTAGACTTTAATATTTGGAACTCACTCCCTCTGTGGTTAATGTGCCTCATCTTTTGAGTGTATTCCCTGTAGATTTGTTCACATTATTCTTCTCCTTTTTGAGCATTGTGAACTTAAGAAAACAAATTCTCCTTGCATGGCAATAACCATGTGATTTGTGAAATCATACTTTGAGCATCTTATTTTAACCATACAAAACAGCGTGGCTCAGAAATTCAATGTGATCGTTTCTCTGGTCAGTGACATATCCCCATGAAGTGAAGCAGCAAGGCAGTAAAGGAACAGGGGTTTTAGTTAAGGGGTAAAATGGGTAATCTTCTTGGAAATTACAAGCAACTGAAGAGCTCATTCCAAAATATGCAGAAATCTCTGAAATCATACATACTTTTTATGTTAGCAAAACTTAAGTGCAAGGAGTCATAATTTAGGTTTATTTAAAGAATGTCTCCAGTCTTGAAATAACCTGAGTGATAAAATAATAATACAATCTTTACTTTTATCTACTTGTTTCTCTTTAATTTTACCACACTTAATATGACATAAAGTAAAATATAACAGTTCTTCAATACATATTTTTCAGAACTAAATAACATTTAAGGGAGATATCGTGATAGTCTTCAAAATATTTTCACCTTAGATTACATATCATTATTTTTTGGTATCAATTTCTAATTTAAAGCTATTTTTCCACTTAGGATCCTAGTTTTTATTTAAATTTTATTTAATTTTTATCTCCTCTTTTTTCATCTATTGTTTTACAGATCGCTTACAATAATTTTCCCTCAGTGCATAGAAAGGAGTGAGCTTGACAACCACCCACCCCCTTGAAAATCAATAGAAGTTGTCTTTTATAATAAAGCTCTCCCTTATTTACTGGAGAAGTGAAGCTAAGTATACAGATGCATCAGCCTGAGTCAGAAAGAGAAGCAGATATTGCTCAGCAGGAAGCCAGGATAGTGGGATTTCCAACTTCCTCTAGGTCGTTTTGTGAAAGGTGGTATCATTTTATGTTAAGACAAATTCCCAGAAATGTTACCACCCTACACACACACACACACACACACACACACACACACACACACACACACGGAGGCAAGGAGGAGGCTACTGTGCCTTGGGCACTTGCCTAGGCATTGCCTGAAAATTACAGATAATTGTCACTAACCAATCTAATTGCAACTGTTAAAAGAAATAACCCTCAATTCAGAGTATTTCCTATTCAAATGCAATACAATTTTTGTTTCTAATATATTAGGTTGCACAGAAACACTAAGATTGTACTTAAATATGGACTGAGGACCATTTTAAACATTACAGTAAAGTAGTGATCACAATTTCATCTGGTTATATTAAAAGTGTTCTGGAATGGTATTGGGAATTGATTTTTTTTTTTTGAGATGGGGCTCTCACTATGTTGCCCAGGGTGGTCTCTATCTTCTGGGATCAAGTGATCCTTCTGCCTCAGTTTCCCATGTGGCTGGTACTACTGGTGCATGCCACTGTGTCTGTCACATTTTTTAAAATCATAAACTGATTCTAAATTATAAATAAATCAAGAGGAAAGACAGAGGACTTACTATGGTGCTATCTTGACAACATCAAAGTAACTAATCCCCAAAAGTTTATTCAAAAATCACAAGTTGTTTCATCTTAGACCCAATTTCTGTACCAAATAAAGCCTATTATACTCCATAATGAAAAGTACAGATAATGAAAAGTACAGAGCCCAGTGATGCTTAAATGATGCCATGTAATCTAATAGCTTTGATGAGTCAGTTTCCAAGATATATAATTATATTCAAAGAGTTCTGTCTGGTTCTGTTGATACTACAATCAAATTCTTCCTTCGCTGCAGACAACACCTTGTACTTAAGCAGAAGCTGAGTCATTCCCCCCACTATACGCCTCTAACAACGGATATGTGAAAGTCTTAGAGCTAAATGTCTGAGTGGTCCTGTTTTATAACAGATCAATAGTTCCTGAAATTAGTATTTGCCTTCCAGGCTAAAATATTTTTTCTACAGTGTTCCAAATATTCTTGCATTTCTTAAAGTCATTGTCATAAATAGCAATGATGCTTTGATAATCCTGATAACAAACTACTTCCAAACTGCAGCAACAGAAGGAAAATGGTAGGATATACAGAAAATCTTTTGAGAAATCCAGAGAGGACTGATATTAGACATAACAGCAATAACCTGTGGCTTTTCAAGAAGAGAAGCGCATTTCTTCCCAATTAAAACTAGGAATTCTCGACAGATATAGTTCACTTTCAAGTGACTAGAATTGTCGCATTCCTTATAATGTCAAATGAAATATTCTTTGTTTCCTATGTTCACCGGCTCCTTGGTCACACTTACTATTTGAGCAGAACAGTCCATCATACATCGAGAAGGCACAGTCACAAGCGATCCCTCTGCGTTTCTCTCACATCTCCCTCAGAGGTGACACACGTGGCCATAGCTATGCAGTGTCCAGCATGCCCTGGCTCCACTCTTGGAGTCACTGTGGCTCTTTCTTTCAGATCCGGGATTGTCCCTTTCAACTGCAGAAAATGAATGCATTCCAGAAAGCCTGGGTCTGGTGGCCATTTCACCTGCAAGGGAAGCACTGCAAATACAAACACATTCTTTTGAGTTTTATTCAAGATTTCATCACCCTGTCAAACTGAGGCCTTATGGAGAATAGCAGAAACTGTGATCACTCAAAAGGTCTCAAGAACAAATATAATTTTGGAAACATACATTTAATGAAATGTTAAGTAATGGCAAATTACTTCATTTATTTATTTACTATATATATTCATATTTTACTTGACACATAATAATTGTACATATTTATGGGGTACAGTGGGATATTTCAGTAGATGTATAAAATGTATAATGATCAAATCAGGGTAATTAGCATGCCCATGACCTCAAACCTTTATCATTTCTTTGTGTTGGTAACATGAAAAATCCTCTCTCCCAGGTATCTGAAAAAAAAGACAACACACTGTTGTTTACTGTGGTTACCCTATAGTGCTGTACAACACTAGAACTTATTCCACCAACTAACTGTAATGTTGCAGAAGACAATACTGACCACATTTGTGAAATATTATTCTAATATGAATGATAATTATAGGTGGGGTTTTATGCTAACATAGCTGCCAAGAATTCCATAAATGAATGCCCACAATTGTAAGCGAGAAAACAAGATTATTCAATTTGGTGTGTGTGTGTGTGTGTGTGTGTGTGTTTCTATTCTCAGGCAGGGAGTTGGTTTTAGTTCTTTTTTTAAGAGGCCCAAACTCATACTACTGTAAGAATTAACTGCAAGTTAATTATTGCAAGTTGAAGTTATTTATAAGACTATGGTATGTATGTACATACACACAATTCTGAATTCACTGTGTAATATTAGTACTCAAAATCATATATATTGTACAGGAGAACAACCTGTGTGATAATTCATGAGTTATCTCAGTCTCTAATTGGACAGTACAATTATTTACTTTAAAATAGATTAGAAATCACCAACAGAGAGCTTTTTCTTTTAAACTAAATGCAAGCAGAGTAAAAAGAAATGTAGAGTAGAAAGAAATGAAGCAAAATATAGGTCTTCCTTTGGGAAAAAAGTCAAGACACAAAAGCAGTTGAAGAGGTGTCTTTCATTTCCTAGAGTGATACACATATTTAGCAGTTCGGTAATTTTTGTTTAACAGCCATATTGAGGCTTTATTGGCATATGATGAACACACATGCTTAAAGTGCAGGACTTGTTAAATTTTTACATATGTATACAACCATGAAACTATCATCACAATTAAAATAAGGAATATATCGATCACCCCAGCAAAATATTCTCCTCCCTCTTGATAACCCCTCCCCCATAACCTCCCTGCTTCCCTCAAATCCCTGGCAACCACAGATCTGATCTCTCTCATGATTAGTTTCTATTTTCCAGAATGTCATATAAATGGAACCACACAGTATTTACTTTTCTTTATCTGGCTTTTTTCTTTCAGCAGAATTATTTTGAAATTCATTAATGTGTAATATGTATCAATAATTCATTCCTTTTTATTGCTGAGTAGTATCTCGTTGTGTGAATATAGCTCAATTTGTGTGTTCATTCATTTGAAGATGGGCATTTGAATTGTGTCCAGTTTTCATCTGTTATAAATAAGCTACTATGACCATTTATGCACAGATGGTCATATGAAAATATCCTTTCATTTCTCTTGGGTAAATACCTAGACAAGAATAGCTATGTCATATGGTAGATATCTGTTTAACATTTAAGAAACTGCCAAATTGTTTTGCAGAATGTTTGTCTTTATGCCAAATTGCTTTGGTTGATTTTATTATGGTAAACTAAACTTGAATTACTGGTATAAGTCAATTTTTTGAAACTTTGTTAAGATTTTTTTGCATCTGTGGTCATGAAGTACTGTATTTTTACTTTTTAAAAATGTCTGTCTAGGTTGGGCATGGTGGCTCACGCCCATAATCCCAGCACTTTGGGAGGTCAAGGTGGGCGGATCATGAGGTCAGGAGGTCGAGACCAGCCTGGCCAAAATGACGAAACCCTGTCTCTACTAAAAATACAAAAAATTATTAGGGCATGGTGGTGGGCACCTGTAATCCCACCTACTCAGGAGGCTGAGGCAGGAGAATCACTTGAACCCAGGAGGTGGAGGTTGCAGTGAGCCAAGATCACGCCACTGCACTCCAGCCTGGGTGACAGAGCGAGACTCCGTCTCAAAAAAGAAAAAAAAATGTCTGTCTGAATGTGGTGTCAGAATAATGCTGGACTTGTAGAATGAGTTCAAAAGTATTCTCTCCTCTTCAATTTTCTGAATGAGTTTATGTTTATTTGTTATTTCTTCCTTAAATGTTTGCTAGAAAACTCCAGCGAAGCCATCTGGGCCTGGAATTTTTGTGGGAAGGTTTTTAACTATAAACTCAATCTAATTAATAGACTATTCATGTCGTCTATTTCTTCTTGAGTCAGTGTTAGTAGTTTACATCTTTCAAGGAATTTGCCTTTACTTCTAAGCTGTCAAACATACTGGCATACAGCTTTGCATTGTAATCTCTTATTATGCCTTTTAATATATGTAATGTATGTAGTGAGATCACCTCTCTCATTACTGATGTTGGTAAATTTTGTCTTTTTTTTCTCTCATTGATGGCAGCAGCTGCAGCCATCATGCGGGCTACAGCAGGGAGGCATGGCTGGGCCTGCATACTCCATGAAGCTGGTGGGAGCCCCACCCCTTCTGAGTTGGGGTATGAGTTCCCTGGTGCGGCTGCAGACCCAGGCCTCCTGCTCTACGGAGCAGGCTGTAGCCCAGCCCAAACTGCAGCTGTGGATCCAAGCTTCCCTGTGCTCTTGGAGGGGGCTGGGAACCGACAGGATCTGCCCTCCTGGGTACAGCTGCAGCCACCCAACCCACTGCTGCAGACCTGGGCTTCCGGCTCCATGGAGCAGGCAGGAGACGGAGACAAGCAGAAGCCCCGCCCCTTCTGAGTTGGCTGGGTGGGAGCTCCCTGGGTGCAACTAAGGCCACCCTCCCAGGCACAGGACCCTGGCATCTTGGCAGCCTGCACCCGCCACCCCCTGCTGGCTCCGGGATGTCTGCTCTCACTGCCTGGCCTCTCTCCTCTTCTGGCACCCTCTTTAATCTCCCAACAGGGTTGGTCGAGCCCTGGGGACTTGAATGGCAGGGGGAGGGAGAGTCCTGGGCAGAAGCGGATGGGTCCCCAGTAAAGCCCCACCTTCAAGCCGGGGAGGGCCTGAAGGCTGGGAGCCAGACTGCCAATCCTGTGGACAGGACTGGGGATCTGTCCCTCCTCTGGGCCGCCAATGGCTGCTCATGGACCAGTTGGCAGGTACTTCTTCCTTTCTGAGGTCCATAAAAGCCCTGGGCTCTGCCAGAGAGGGCAGAGGACAGAGAGACGATGGGATGACCAGCTGCAGAGACGAACTCTCCCCTCTACTGAGAGCTTCAGAGACCTGCAGAGACCTCCAAATGACCAGCCTGCAGAGAGGAGCCACACTCGCCAGGGCCTCCTCTCTGCTGAAAGCTGAACACTCCACCGGACGACCTGCCTGCAGAGAGGAGCAACCCACTGTGGGTCTTCTCTGAGCTGTTCTAACACTAAATAAAACTCCTCTTAATCTTTTTCGCCATTCCTTTGTCTGCGTACCTCATTCCTCCTGGATGCAGGACAAGAACTCAGGCAAAGATGCCACTGTCCACAGAGGTTTCTGGGCAAGAAAATCGACACCCCAAAGATCCTGTAACATCATGATTGGCTGTCTCCACATTTACATCATACAATTCAATTACAAACCACTGCAAAGCAGCACTTATTGATGAAGAGCTGGCTCGTGAGCTGTAAGTGGACATGCCATCAGTGGTGGCAGGTTGTAGCTTAGTAACTTGAAATGATACTTTTTTTACATTCCTCTCTGCCCTCACGTGGTGCTAATAATTGTCATAAAAGGGAGTATATGACTCCACCATGACCTCAAAAGGCCTATTACCCATCTTAAAGGAAAATGTCACTTTTCTGGTGCTAGAAATTGTAGATATGAGAGTTGCTCAAGTTCATTTATAGTGAAGAGAAGTTAGTAGTGTATTTATACAAGCCTAACACTATGAAATGCATATATTTATTAAATACTATGGAAGGAGCCAATGGCAGTGATCCAGAAAACATATGCTTTTCAGTTGAGATAGAAGAGCAAAAGAAATCTCTATTCCTATTGCAGAGAAAAAATAGTAAATATATTTGCTCATAACAACATAACTAAACTGTTTGTGGCTTAATAAATAAAAATATAGTTATTTAAAGGTGGTTCAAGGTTTCCTATATAATCTTACATTCCCCAAATGTGAATTTGCACAGTAACGAATTAAAAATAAAACAAAGCAATATTACTTGTCAATTCAATCAAATAACTTTGTAATTTAGCAGAAAATAAATTGCACCAGTTTGGTTTAAAGCCCTAACTACACATCTATAGTTTCCTTAAATTAATTAAAAGAAGTCATGCAATTTTCACAGAATATCACATGCATGTTATCCATTTTAATTTCTCTTAAAAATGGGTTAGTTGCCATTATCAAACTTTAGACAAGAAATCAAACAGATAAAGTAACAATGAAAGCAACTTAGACATTAGCTGAAGGGTTTATTCCTAATTGCTGAGTACCCATGCTTTATCCACAAAGGGTGATTTACCATTTCTATAAACTGATAGTGAGCTATCCAAAATGGAAATTAAGAATACAATCCCGGCTGGGCGCGGCGGTCACGCCTGTAATCCCAGCACTTTGGGAGGCCGAGGTGGGCAGATCACCTGAGGTCAGGAATTAGAGTGACCAGCCTGATCAACATGGTGAAACCCTGTCTCTACTAAAAAATACAAAAAAAATTAGCCGGGCATGATGGCGGGTGCCTGTAATCCCAGCTACTCGGGAGCCTGAAGCAGGAGAATCGCTTGAACCTGGGAGGCAGAAAAAAAAAAAAGAATGCAATCCAATTACAATAGCAACAAAAAACTTATAAAATACTTAGGTGTAAATTTAACCAAGGAGGTGAAAGAACTGTACACTGAAAACTATAAAACACTGATGAAAGAAAATGGAAGAAAACACAAATAAATGGAAAGATATTTTATGTCCACAAAGTAGAACAATTAATAGTCTAGTTTTTATTTTTAATTTTTATGAAAACATAATAGTTGTACATATTTATAGAATACCTGTGATATTTTGATACAAGCATACAGTGTGTAATGATCAGATATGGGTAACTGGGATATTCATTACCTCAAACATTTATTGTTTTCTTGTGTTGAGAACGTTGTGAAATACAAAATAAATTACTGTTAACTATAGTTGCCCTATTGTGCTACCAAACACTAGATCTTACTCCTTCTATCTATCTAACTGTATTTTATATCCATTAACCAACCCCTTTTCATGCCCTCCTCCCACTACCCTTCCCAGTTTTTGCTAAACACCATTCTGTTCACTACCTCCCATTTTTTTAGCCCACACATATGAGTAAAAGCATGATATTTGTCTTTCTGTATCTGGCTTATTTCACTTAACATAATGTCCTCCAATTCCATCTATGTTGCTACAAATGACAGAATTTCATTCTTTCTTCTGGCTGAATAATATTCCATTGTGTATATATACCATATTTCCTTTACCCATTCATTCATTGATGGATACTTAGGTTGATTCCATATTTTGGCTATTGTGAATAGTGCTGCTGCAATAAACATGGGAATGCAGATATCTCTTTGATACACTGAGTTCTTATCTTTTGGCCATATACCAATTAGTGGGATTGCTGGATCATATGGTAGTTCTATGGTTAGTTTTATTGACAAATCTCCACAGTGCTTTTCAGTGTGGAGATTTCCAGTACCTGTACGAATTTACATTCCTACCAGCAGTGTATGAGCACTTCCCTTTCTCCACATCCTCCTTATCATTTGTCATTTTCTGTCTTTTTGATAATAGCCACTTTAACTGGGGTGCAAGGATATCTCATTGTGATTTTGATTTGCATTTCTGTGATCATCAATCATGTTGAGCATTTTTTCATTTATGTGTTGGCCATTTGATTTTCTTCTTTTGAGAAATATGTCTATTCAGATCTTTTGCCCCTTTCAAAATCAGAGTATTTGTTGTTGTTTTTTTTTTTTTTTTTTTTTGCTATTGAGTTGTTTGAGCATCATGGTGTATTCTGATTATTAATCCCTTATCCGATGAATACTTTGCAAATATTTTCTCCCATTCTGTAGGTTGTCTCTTCACGTTGTTGATTTTTTCCTTTCCTGTGCAGAAGGTTTTTCATTCGATGTAATCCCATTTGTCAATTTTTGCTGTGGTTTCCTGTGCTTTTGAGGTCTTACTCAATAAATCTTTGCTCGGACCAATGTCCTGAAGGATTTTACCTAAGTTTTGTTCTAGTAGGTTCACAGTTTTGAGGCTTACATTTAACTCTGTAATGCATTTTAAGTTGATTTTTGTATATGGTGAGAGATCAGGGTCAAGTTCCACTCTTCTGCATATGGTTACTCAGTTTTCCCAGCACCATTTATTAAAGATACTGTTGTTTCCCCAGTGTATGTTCTTAGGGCCTTTGATGAAAATCAGTTGGCTATAAATACATGGATTTGTTTCTGTGTTCTCTATTTCATTCCTTTGGTGTATATGTCTGTTTTTATGCCATAAACATGCTTTTTATTTTTTATCACTGCAGCTTTGTAGTATATTTTGAAGTCAGATAGTGTGATGTCTCCAGCTTTGTTCTTTTTGTTCAGGGTTGCTTTGTATACTCAGGCTTTTTTGTGATTTCACATGAATTTTAGGCTTGCTTTTTCTATATCTGTGAAGAATGTCACTTGATAGGAATTGTCTTGAGTCTATAGTTAACATTGGGTAGTATGGACATTTTAACAATATTAATTTTTCTAATTCATGAATATGAGTTTTTTTATTTTTTGTGTCCTCTTCAATTTCTTTTATCA